>NC_000004.12:95588047-95891077 GCF_000001405.40 Homo sapiens
TTACAACTAATTATTGCAATTATGTCTTTATCAAAAGAAATTTTTAGCACTTCAGCACCTTATAGTCAGATAAACTTTTTCAAAAATTAAATTTAAATTTACATACATATTATAAAGCAGAGAAGTACGATGGGGGAACAATAAAAGACTAAAACCTAATAATTCATTAAATTTTAATAAAATTGTCGGTGTAAGTGAAATAGATATATAAGTTCAAGTAGAAGAGTCATGACATTACATTTCTGGACAGTTGAAAAGATGTATTAATGTATTTTTATATGAATAATGACAAGTATAAAATTGCCATGGTATGTAGACACCACTGGCTACATTTTAAATGACATAAAATTTTTATTTTAAAAGTCAATAATTACAACATGTTAAAAAATTATATAATTTGCAATGACTAGAATTTTATGAAAAATTAAACAACTAAATATTTTGTGAAGGGCTTTCAAAATGTGTTTAGGTGACATCAAAATAGAGGTTTGAAAAATGCTGGACTAGTTCTGGTATATTTGTAGAATGCTTCTCATCTGCAGTAAGAGGAAATTTATTCAACAAATGAAAATTACAATGCAGAAATGAAGATTAATGTAAATAAATGGAACCTCAGGTGATTACCTGGTCTAGTTTTTAGGTTACTGTCCAGATGATATTTTTTTCTTGAATTTTATGAGATGAGACTTATTTATTGTACTCACTAATAATTGTTGTTCTAGCACATAGACTTGCTATGTGTAAAGAGCCTGCTGTGAATCTGAATCGGAATTTAATTACATTCAATATTTAATCTATTGAAAAACTAATGACTACTCTGCTTATAGAAAAATGAATACATATAATTATCTAAGTGTGTTCCAGTTTAAAATTATATACACATATGAAAACATGCATATATTATACATAGTGTTTATATATTTAAAAAGTAGTATATGTATATTATTAAACATTATTATTTAAAATTATACAACACAAGTAAAACAGATTCTAACCTAAATTTCTTAGAGATTGCATAATACTACTTTACATATCAGGTACTCAGTAAAAAAAAATGTTGATTGTAAAATAAATGTTAGCTGTGTGTATGATACATTATGACATGTATTTTTGCCATGCAGATTCAGTATTTCTGTGTTTGTCCACATCAGTGTGTTTTAAAAATTCATACAAGTACTATTTTATCTGTTATTAGAAGATCCAATAAGACAAGGTACAATTTAATACATTTTAAAATTAGACATTTCTTAATAGTTTCTCAAATCACCTATATTGATTTATTAAGCCAATGATAACATTTATAGGAATAATTGTCATTTAATAATAGATATTATAGTTTATAATGGATTCTGTTTCAGTTACATCCCACAATTAACAACCAACTTAATTATCCTATAGTAACTGGACTTCAGTATATCAGATACAACATCTAAAACATTATATCTGGTTTGAAAACTGCAAGCAGATTAAAATAGCAACTACCCTTCATAATTAGACATGATTTTGTTTTATGTGTTTTAAATACATTTTTAGATCTTTATTGAAGAGCTTATTAGATGAGTGAAAATAACTAAACTAGTGTGGTTTGTATTATTATCCTAATTAATACTGACAAGGTTCTCAATTTGAATTTCTTTTTCAGAAAACAGATGTACATTCCCTTGGTGAGGTATATTTCATATAAAGAGAACTTTAGTTATAACGACAACATTATCTATGTGCCTATATGAAAACCAGACTAATTTATTAAAAAATATTTGCACTTAAGTGCTTTGAGATCTTGTCTGGAAATTAGATGTGCAATAGTAATTGTATATTTTTAGCAATGGAAGTATATTATGGTAAAGATCACTTATTCTTTTGATCATCATCTTTTTATTGTAAACATCCAGAAGTACATCTAATTATGCAGGTAGAAAGCATGGACTAAGAATCAGCACATCCCAACTTAGGCATGTGACTTCTTCTCAGTCAGTTTTAGTTTTTTAAATGGTTTGTGAATGATGCTAAGATTATGGGAAGCAACAAACCCATTGCACACAATGCTGATCAAACCACAGTTGCAGCATGGTGCTGACTCTTTGTCTCATAAACTTTAAAAATACATGTCTGTATATTTATACAATATGGTGCTTTCCAAACGTAGCTATACGTTTTAGAAGCATTGGCAAACAAAAATGCATCTAAAGAAAGGCATTTGGAAAAAAGCATCACAATTTTCAGAAGTCTAGGATGGTAAGTCTAGAAAGCATGTCAAATAAAAGCAGCTGAAATTATTTAGACTTGAAAGAGTAGACTCTGCAGAGCCATCTTTAAATATTTAAATAACTTTGAAATAATAAAAGCATTAGAATTTTTGTATGTTGGTCCAGACTTCAGAACTAGAATTAACAGTGAAAGTGAAAAGAATATAGATTTTGTCATATTGTAAGAATTACTCTTAAAACCCAGTTATTTGCCAATGCAATAAATTACATCATAAGATAGTGGGCTAACTCATGGTGGAGCTACCTAAACCATCCAGCTTTTAGAAACTCTGTGAGACATACTAAACTCTAGGATTCCTATATATTTTATGGTTTTTTATACACTTTAAAATTTCTTTTAAAGTTCTAAAATTAAGCGTTTTGGACACAGAATGTTTAGCAAAACTCTCTTTACTTTTATGTATTGTGATAACACAATTTTAATTTTGAATATAATTCCATTCAGGTAATCAACAAATCTATATGGAGCAATTACTGTGTGCCAGGTATTCAGCACTGGGGTAGAATGGACAGCCAAATTAGACCTAGTGTCAGCCTGATGGAGGGCAGAGATCAGTAGTGGTAGACATCACTCTATAGTCATAGAAACAAATGGGCAATTGCAAAGTTTGATAAATGGCATGGAGGTGATACACAGTACTTTGTGACTTTACATCAAAGCTGTAAACTTTTTTCTACAGTCACCATTACTGTCTAGTGCAACCCACATCATCTGCCACTTGTAGTACCAGACAGCCTCCTAACTGGGCTGTAGTACCAGACAGCCTCCTAACTGGGCTCCTTGCCTCCACTCATGCTGCCCCTGCAACCTTTCTCAGTTTTACAACTGTAATTTTCCTCAAATACAAATCAGCTTATGCCACTACCCTGCCTAAAATTCCACACCACTTCTCATTGCTTTAAAGATAAAGACCGCATTCTTAACATGACCTGAAAAGATTTTTATAATATGGCCCGTTTATGTCTCCGAGGCTATCTTAAACCACTTTCCCCCAGTTTCTGTATTCTAGCCACTTGGGATTTTCAGTTCTCAAACATTACTCATTATCTTCCGCACAGGGCTTTTGCACACATGGTGTTCCCTGCAAAACCCTTTATCCTGTCTCCTTCACTTAGATAACTCCATGAAATGTAAACTCACATATTTTCTTTTGTACACAATAAGAAGCCATTTACTCAACAAATATTTATTGAGTTCCTATTAAGCACCATGCACTGTTTTCGGTGTTTGGATTACACAAAAAAACAAAACAGTCAGAGACTTGCTGTCCACGGGGAATAAACAAAGATTCCAGCCAGTTTATATTTTACCCAGAAAGTTAAGCCATTATCTAGATGATTAGATAAAACAATCGATTTCATTGGATATACAACTGCATTCTTAGAGACTTTTAATGCTAAGATTTTGAATAACTCTTAGGAATGTGAGAATAGATAGACTATAAATATTTTCCTTTGATAAAAACACACAGTATTCTGTATTTACAATTTAAAGAGGACTTGGTTCATTTCATGCCACATGATTTCACAACTTAGTTGATAGTATTGTGATATATTTGTATATCTATATTTCATATGTATAGTGTATATGTGTTATGAATAACTGAGTATAATATGTATTATCTACCACAGAAAAATGCAAACAATTTTTATTTATTTATTATTTATTTATTTATTAGTATACTTTTAAGTTTTAGGGTACATGTGCACATTGTGCAGGTTAGTTACATATGTATACATGTGCCATGCTGGTGCGCTGCACGCACTAACTCGTCATCTAGCATTAGGTATAACTCCCAATGCTATCCCTCCCCCCTCCCCCCACCCCACAACAGTCCCCAGAGTGTGATATTCCCCTTCCTGTGTCCATGTGATCTCATTGTTCAATTCCCACCTATGAGTGAGAATATGCAGTGTTTGGTTTTTTGTTCTTGTAATAGTTTACTGAGAATGATGATTTCCAATTTCATCCATGTCCCTACAAAGGACATGAACTCATCATTTTTTATGGCTGCATAGTATTCCATGGTGTATATGTGCCACAATTTCTTAATCCAGTCTATCATTGTTGGACATTTGGGTTGGTTCCAAGTCTTGCCATTGTGAATAATGCCGCAATAAACATACGTGTGCATGTGTCTTTATAGCAGCATGATTTATAGTCCTTTGGGTATATACCCAGTAATGGGATGGCTGGGTCAAATGGTATTTCCAGTTCTAGATCCCTGAGGAATCGCCACACTGACTTCCACAATGGTTGAACTAGTTTACAGTCCCACCAACAGTGTCAAAGTGTTCCTATTTCTCCACATCCTCTCCAGCACCTGTTGTTTCCTGACTTTTTAATGATTGCCATTCTAACTGGTGTGAGATGGTATCTCATTGTGGTTTTGATTTGCATTTCTCTGATGGCCAGTGATGATGAGCATTTTTTCATGTGTCTTTTGGCTGCATAAATGTCTTCTTTTGAGAAGTCTCTGTTCACGTCCTTCGCCCACTTTTTGATGGGGTTGTTTGTTTTTTTCTTGTACATTTGTCTGAGTTCATTGTAGATTCTGGATATTAGCCCTTTGTCAGATGAGTAGGTTGCGAAAATTTTCTCCCATTTTGTAGGTTGCCTGTTCACTCTGATGGTAGTTTCTTTTGCTGTGCAGAAGCTCTTTAGTTTAATTAGATCCAATTTGTCAATTTTGGCTTTTGTTGCCATTGCTTTTGGTGTTTTAGACATGAAGTCCTTGCCTATGCCTATGTCCTGAATGGTAATGCCTAGGTTTTCTTCTAGGGTTTTTATGGTTTTAGGTCTAACATTTAAGTCTTTAATCCATCTTGAATTGATTTTTGTATAAGGTGTAAGGAAGGGATCCACTTTCAGCTTTCTACATATGGCTAGCCAGTTTTCCCAGCACCATTTATTAAATAGGGAATCCTTTCCCCATTGCTTGTTTTTCTCAGGTTTGTCAAAGATCAGATAGTTGTAGATATGTGGCACTATTTCTGAGGGCTCTGTTCTGTTCCATTGATCTATATCTCTGTTTTGGTACCAGTACCATGCTGTTTTGGTTACTGTAGCCTTGTAGTATAGTTTGAAGTCAGGTAGTGTGATGCCTCCAGCTTTGTTCTTTTGGCTTAGGATTGACTTGGCAGTGCGGGCTCTTTTTTGGTTCTATATGAACTTGAAAGTAGTTTTTTCCAATTCCGTGAAGAAAGGCATTGGTAGCTTGATGGGGATGGCATTGAATCTGTAAATTACCTTGGGCAGTATGGCCATTTTCACGATATTGATTCTTCCTACCCATGAGCATGGAATGTTCTTCCATTTGTTTGTATCCTCTTTTATTTTTCTACCTTACAAATATTAATGAATTTGTTCAAAATTAATTTTGATGCTTTGGAAATAAAATGCTTGATTTTATAAATAATTATTATAGAATTTGTTTCTTTCAAAGCAAATGGTCATTTAATTAACCAATTAGTTATTTCAGAAAGGCTTTACTTATTACATTTTATTCAGTGTCGGACATGAAAAGAGGCTTTTACAAATTATAAAATCTCTTCACTGGTCTGAGGAATTTATAGTCCACCTAGAGAGACAATATAAATGAAACAATACAGGGTGGTATATTCGTAAATTACAACAAAGTATAAGAACAAGTGTACATAAAAGAAAAGAACAAGTGTACATAAAAGAAAAAAACAAGGAAACTTTTCCTTACTCCAACAGCGAGACAATATAATGAAACAATACAAGGCAGTATATTCATAAATTACAGCAAAGTATAAGAACACATGAACATAAAAGAAGAAAACAATGAAACTTTTCCTCACTCCAATTATTTGCAATATGTCCTTATTCAGCAAGACAAAAACAGCACAGTCATGAATTTATGCTATGTCAGATAAAATTCACTAGCTAGACTGATTTCTGATTTGAAACAACTGCTAACCAGTGTTTTGTACTACTTTAAAAAGAAAAAAAAAAAGCAGCAAAAGCAGTAACCTAGAATCTCCAGGAAGCTTCTGGGGTAATAGATTGTGATTGTATGCTCTTAAGATCAGGATATCTCAGTGTGAAGGCTTTACAAGTTATGGATCTGAGGAGAAAAATAACAGCTCAGGGAGAGTTTCTTCTTCTTAGCTCACCAAGATGAGGAAAAGGTCAAAGACAGTCTAAGGCGCTATAGCAGTTTGGAAAGTAGTGTGTCAGATAGGATCTCACAGTGGTAATTGTAGCTCTGCTTTCTTCCATCATCCTGATTGTGGTGAAAGCCAAGAACTTAGAGCAATGGACTGAGAAAATACTATGAAATAAGAGGCCCATTGGTCTGGATAAAACTACAGTCAGTAAAAATGGAAAATAAACTTCCATATGTTTGGCCTTTAGCAGCCTCAGAGACTTCAACTAACATTTTACAAAATTGCTTTAGAGTCCTTCATAGTCGTAATGCTTTGTTTGGAGGGGGGGGTCACTTAAGTTTAAAATCTTAAGTTTAAACTTAAGCTCAACATGCTTAAGTTTAAAATCTTAAGTTTAAACTTAAGCTTAACATGCTTAAGTTTAAAATCTGTTGGCAGTAGTGAAATAGTGTGAAAGGAACACAGAATGTATTTTTCTTCTTAAATGCCACTTAATCCAATAAAATTTAAGCCAAAGGTACACATGAATTTTAAAAGTTACTGTTGGTTTCCACTGCTGTAGATTTGGACAATGTTTCTACTCTAGAAAGTTTTTTATTGGGGTCAGGATTGTCCAAAACAAACTTATTTTCACTGGCCTACATATTGTTTTCATAGGGCTCAATTCTATTAGTTGAAGAATTTAACGTTACTCTGGGTTTCAGGTATTATTTATGCTAGATGGTTTTGTATGTAGGGCACACAGTTTAAAAGGGTGCACCCTGTAATATTAAATGATATGACAAATGAATGCTGAGAAGAGAATTTAAATTTGAAAAAACATGCTGACAATTGACAAATGATCCAATTAACATTACAGATGTTTTACCAAGTTGAAAAATTAGAAGCAAACAAACTAACATGTACTTGTATTAGAAGCAAAGTTTAGAAGTTTATAAAAATCATTTTTTTCCTATTTCAGGAAAATGACTTAGAATTATTTTTCTCAATTGCTTACTTATGGTGCTCTGAAGAAAGAGCAGTAATGTATGATTAAGTGCCTAATGATTTAGATGTTATTGAAAAGGTTTTGTACAAAGTGGATATTTATGATTTGGATCACTGTGCTATTGAATCAGCCCCTTAAGTACCTGAAAGCAAGGGTTCCTGGGTCATTGCTGTAACCCCATGGGCTAGACAAGTGTGGGCACATAACAGACTGAGACACTCAAGAAATTTTTGTTGAATGTGTGGATGAGGGCCCTAAAAGACAGCGAATGCGGCATGTCAAAATATAACTCGTAATATGGAAGCAATCTGGAGGAAATATTAGTGAAATCAGTTCAGGATGATGAAAGTGATTTTGCCAAACTGACATGAATACATTTAACAATGAAACATGAATAGAAGATAATTTTCCCCAATAATTTTCTACTTTCAGCTCTTTAAAGGAAAGAAAGTAATAAAAAATAAAACATGCTCTAAAGATGAACTTGAAATCACCTGTGTCCTAAATCATCAGAATAAACAGAAATACTTAACATAAAAAGAAGGATACCACTGCTTTTTGTTATGATTTTTTTTGAAAATTGCTCCTTGATAAGTGACCAAGAGAAAACAGAAATAAAAAGCAGCAAAATTGCACAAATAACCTCATTAAAAAGTGGGCAAAGGATATGAACAGACATTTCTCAAAGGAAGGCAAGCATCCAACAGAAATTAAAGAATGCTCTTCATCACTAATCACCAGAGAAATGCAAATCAAAAGCACAATGAGATAGCATCTCATACCAGTCAGAATGCCTTTTCTTAAAAAGTCAAAAACTAACAGATGTTGATGAGGCTGTGGAGAAAAGGGGACACTTATACACTATTGATGGGAATGTAAATTAGTCCAGCTGCTGTGAAGAGCAGTTTGGAGATTTCTCAAAGAACTAAGAGTTGAACTACCATTCAACCCAACAATCCCATGACTGGGTATATATCCAAATGAAAATAAATCCTTCTCCCAAAAGGACACATGTACCCGTATGTCTATCGCAGCACTATTCACAATAGCAAAAACATGGAATCAACACAGGTGCTCATCAATGGTGGATTGGATAAGGAAAATGTGGTACATATACACCATGGATTGGATAAGGAAAATGTGGTATGTATATACCACATATACACAGCCATAATAAAAATGAGATTATGTCCTTTGCAGCAACATGGATGCAGCTGGAGGCCACTATTCTAAGTGAACTAACACAGTAACAGAAAACCAAATACCGCATGTTTTTACTTATAAATTGGAGCTAAACGTGGGGTACACATGGACGTAAAGAGAGGTCAATAGACACTAGGAAATACAAAACGGAGGAGGAAAGAAGGGGACACAGGCAGAAAAACTAACGAGTGGGTACTGTGCTTGCTATCTGGGTGACAGTTTCTGTTATACCGCAGACCTCAGCATTACACCATATCCCTCTGTAACAATCCTGCACGTGTACCCCTTGATCCTAAAATAAAAGCTGAGAAAGAAAAAGAAAAAAAAAAGCTATGTTGTAATATAGTTGGTGGTTCTATTTCTTTCATCAAAGTTTCTCACTAAAGACCAGTTTGTTTATCCTTTTATTTGTTCATTCATTTTTTCCTTCCTTCTTTCTTTTCTCTGTCCTTCCTTCCCTCCCTTCGTGTTGAACCTTAGGAAAATGAAAGCTATATAAAAAGATTCCCACAGCTGTTTTGAAATTTTGACAGGTATAAGGGACCTTTTAGGAAGCTACTCACTTTAACGCATGCCAGGGATGTGGACCAGGAAAGTATAGAGATTTGAAAATGAAGGAGACCCTGAGAGATAACATGCCCTTATTTTCCTTCAATTGTTCGTTCCCTTCACAGCCTGTCTTTGCTATCACATGTATGCATGAATCCTGAGGCATCTACCATGCACGATAAATACTTTCCTTGATTTTCCACATGTTGTTGGTCCTTCAGTTATGTTCAGTGAAGGCAGACTGCCTTCATTGTTTTATTAGTTTATCCAACTTTCTAAGGGATCTCATAAAGTCATCAAAAAACTTGTATTAACAAGTCTCATGTGAAGGCATGAAATAGTGCTTGCTGTTTGTCACATGTTGCAGAGCTATGTGCGCCAGTCATTCCTTCATTCTTAAGGAACACTTTCTTCTTGAAAGTAATACCAGACAATGTAGAAAACATCACACTGTGGCTTGACTTGTTGGTGCTGCCTAGCTCTCCTGGCAGTGTGGCCCTTGAGAGCCTGATTCCTTGAAATGACCTTAGGGCACGAGAGGATTAGGATCAATTCTCCTTCTCTCGCTAAGAGTCTGCTGGGGATTACACCTGAGTATAGAAGTGCCACACTCTTTAAAAAAACTCAAAGGTTACCATGGTTAAATACTATTGGGCTGCTGGGTGCCAGAATTTTCAAAGCAGATTCATCTAAAAAATCAATATGGACACAAGACATTTATTGCATTATTCCATTATACATCCATACCTCAAACATTTAACATGTTGTCAAGAATAATACTTTGAGCTCTTAAACCTTAACTAAATGTAAAAGCAGGGATCCACAGAAAATTAAATCTCCAGTGAACCAATACATCAAATTTATTATTTTTGTTCCTAGTTATTCCAATGACTCCATGAAAAGGAACCTATTCAAAACACATGCCCAATAATAGAAGCATTGTTAGAAGAGTCACTAAAAGTACAAAAGCATCAATTAAAAGGGAGGTCCTAGTTGATTTAACAGCAACAACTAAAAGGAGGTAAAGGACTTATAGAAGATTGCTTTAGGGAATATATTGATTTTAAATATGATAGTTCATTCCTGACAATTTCTGCCTTTCATGAAATAGGTCACAGGACGTTGGTATGATTTAGAATAAGGTAATGAAGTGACAGTAATAAAAAAAGTTTGATGTTCTAAAGGCAGCGTGAGTTGTGAAATCTGACTACTAGTAATATTGTTTTATAAGGAATTAAAGTAGGTGAGTACCTAAAGCGAATGCTGTGTAGGAACCCATATACTAGATAAGTGCATATTTTGCCTGCATTGGTCATTAAATTCATGTTTAAATAATACCAAAATGCATAGATAAAGAACAAAACATACTCTCATCTAGAGTTTAGGCTTTTAAAGCCTCTCTATTCAAAACAGATACTTTTCTGGTATCTAATGTTTAATATAGGCATGGACTATGTTAGAAGAGCAATGCAAACATAAAAGAAAAAATATTAAGATATAAAAGTGTGCACTGCATCATGCTTTATATTAACTATCCACTAGGCTATATTTAATTATTAAAGTTCACTCTATAGATTTATCTAAATATTTGAGCTGCACAGAACTTTTTTCCAATATTTTCTTCTTTAAATAATATTGAAAAATATGTCCTGTCAACTAGATAGAATTTTTAAGACATTTTCATGGCCCACTTTCACTGTATAATTAAATATTTTTATTTAAGGAAAACATTATTAGATGCTCCTCCCTCACCCTAAAGATCTAAATTCCAGTATTTAAAATTATTTAATATTATTTAGCCACTCATATATGTCAGGCACTCTACTAGAAGTAAATGTGTGACGTGTTAAATATGTACATTCATACATACATATGCAAGAATATGCAAAAATATATTCAATAAAAATATACTCAGTTGATAAGATTGCCATCTTCATTGAATTTTTAAGAAGAAAATTGCAGGAAAATTAGTAGGTATCAGAAAATTGGATTTTTCAGCATCTCTATTTTAAGTTGAAAATGACCTTTTAAATAGAAGATCCAGTATCAATATATTATATTCAGCCTGATTTTCTACAACTTTTACTTATACACACTTATTTTAATTAAATTTGACACCTGCACTAAACTTTTAGAATATTGAAAGCTATCAAAATACTCTTTTTCTGAATATGGCAACTAAGAGAGAGACACTGTAGTCCTATAAGTCTTATCCACATGAAAAAATATATTGCAGTATGATGAAAGGAGATAAGAATATTATATTACAAATTTGAGCACAATCTTTAAGAATAGCAGTATTGCTACAGTGGGTTGAAAAAAATAAAAAGAAATTTCCCTTTGTGGGTAATAAGACCATGTTTATTCTGTGAAGCAGTATTAATATTTTGATAAGGGCAAGATTTAATATTAAACTTTAGATGACCAAGAACTTGTATCAAGCATTATCCTTTTTTGAACAGCATATTACTCTTGCCAAAGATAATTTCGTTTTTGATTTGGGGATGCTCAGGACTCTTGAGAAAGTGAAGATACATGGAACTGATGATACAAGTCTGTGAGGCCAAAGCTCTCTATTGTGAAAGATAGCTAATTAATAACCTTACTATTGATTAAAATAAAACATGTCAAAATTATCTCTATCAGTCAGTTTACTGTGATCATCATTTGTATATAAAATACTCTTCATGGCATACATGCAGAAGTCCACTTGCCCGATCGCCTAGGAAGGCACTAGAAGGTGCATCCTTTTGGTCACCTACTCATGCCATCCCTTCTCCAGTGTAGATTGTATACAGTAACAATTAGGAGATGACATGGGAGTCTGACAAGGAAAGATTATGAGATTATGTCACTTTGAAATTTGTTTTCTACTATTTTACCACATTAATGACTCATAGCGTTAGAATGAATTCAGTTTTAAGAAAGTCGTTTGAGGATATTCAGAAGTAGGTTTATAAATGTAAGAGGAACTTAGAATTTCTTTGCTTTCTCATGATTTTTAATTTGTTGTTTTGGTTTCCTTTCTTCAGTATGAGCCGTCATACTGAAACCCAAGCTCGATCATCTCTACTTCCAGGAGGTGGGAGGAGATCTTTTCGTTTGAATTGTGAAACTGGTTGCCTTTCAGAGACAAGCTATCTGTGTATGTGGAGAGGAAGAATATATAAATAAGTAAGATAAACAAAATAGAGTATTTCCATGACAACTCTACAGAACCAAAACTGTATAATGAATCCTTAGATTTCCTTACACTTTACATACTTGAGAAAATTGAAACAAATGATAAACCATGTTAATTTTTAAATATAAAGGCAGAACTAGGTTTATGCGATAAAGACTTAATTACGTCAAATTCGCCCACATCCCCTACCCTCCATGTCATCCCACTTCGGCTTCTCCAAATACTTCTGATATTTGTTTTGTTTTTCATCTCAAACATCAGTCCACCTTTAAGTGTTCCATGGAATTTTTTTCCACACTTGTGTTGAGTTGTTTTAAAGAGTTAAGCTATGTGCGTTGTATGGTTTTGTCCATTTGATTCCTAAAAAGTGTTTTGAGGTTGATAGTATCCTGTTTTATCAATGAGGAAACCAAGTCTTAGAGGGATTAGATTACTTGCCTAAGCTCATGCCATCAGGAATTGTTGCAGCCAAGTATTGACCATAAGTCAGTCAGACTTTAAAACTTATACTCCTATAAGTACAGAAACTTTTAAAATTTAATTCTCTGGACTTGTCTAAGAGAAGATCATGTTACTTCATGACAGCATTCAGATTAGTCACTTCTTTTCTCTATAAGTGCTTTCTAAGTACTGTAGGTAAACTCGCTGTAGGAAAGAAAATTATTAAGAGCCTGGAAAGCTCAGATTTAAGTCCTGCCTGAGCAGATTATGTAGTCTCAAGGTTTCAGTTTGCTCATCAATGTGGGGGTAATAATATTCACCTCATGGGTCATTGTGAGGATTAAGCGTAATGTCCCATGTAATTGTACCTGGCACATAATAAGGAAGAGTTTTAAAAATGAATTAGTATGCTATTGCTACAGTCCTGGACTAGATAGGAAAAATGAGCGGATAGAGAGTTTAAAATCTAATTGAGGAGATGAGCAACCAATATGTGGGTAATTTTAGGACAGTTGTAATACTTGTTTAAAATTATGCCAATGAATTATATATGTATGTGTACGTATATGTGATGTACACACACAGACACATGCATGCGTGCGCATGCACCTGCCTGAATTAGGACTAAGAATAACAAAGTAATAGGAGGGATATATGGTATGTATAGAAATATTTCCTGGAGCAGGTGCATTTCAGTATGTTAAAGTGATGAATAGTGCTTGAGTTTAAGGGGTGAGAGAGGATAGGCAGGAAACTACACATGAGAAGAAACCACTAAAGAGGAACTAGAGTGCCCAACTGAAAAAGAATCTTGAGATGTTTCCAATTTATGTATCCTTCAAATAAAATAATGGAAAATATTCTTGGTGCTTTTCAGATTCCAGGCATCGTTCTAAGAACTTTCTGCTAACTCAGTTCTCACAACTGTATGAAAGAAGTGCTATCCGTGTTTCCTTTTTTACAGGTAGGAAACCGGGGCCCAGAGATGCTGATCACTTTGCCTAGGTTCACAAATCTAGTGAGCAGCATATCCAGGATTGCAAATTCAGGATGCTAAACCCAGAATCTAAGGGGCTTGTAGAGAAGCACTTAGCACATGTTGGGAGGGGTGCATGGGGAGGGAAATAACCCCTGGAGGAATGCACTAGGGAGCATGGCTTAACATTAAAGAGCTGAGACTGGTGCCACTTCTTACGTCAATTGAGGGTCAAGCCCAAATGCTTCCCGTTCAATTCCTAAGAATCAGAGGACCTAAAATTTATCTTTGAGGTATAAACCATGCAGAGGTTGACTGGAAATTTGGCTTCCAGGAAGGGATAAGTGAGTTGGATTAAAGGACTAAGTTCCATCTTTGTAACAAGCACTCACATAGAATAAGGCAGTGACAAGGGGATGTGCACTAAATGTAAGTCACAGTATAGAAGTCCAAACAACTGGGGTTAGGATGAAGCTTGGGAAGGAATTTAGAGAGGAAGGAGAATATTTTACCTAATATTTAGTAATGATATACAGATGAAAGTTTGGGGGAAATAGAAAGGAAAGAAGGGAGAATAGAGAAACAAGACATCATTCTGCAATCCCTGAAGTTTTCAGCCTGAGTAGCAGGTGTAGTGGAAGTGCTATCAATATTAAACAAAATTAGGAAGGTATAGAAATTAATGTGAAACAGAGGAAATTCAGTTTTCATAACGTTGTGATGGGGGAAATTTCATCTTGTCTATGAAATACATTTCCCTCTGAACAATTTTAATATAAGAGTTAAATATTTCCAAATACAAATTATTGAGTTACTTATTAACAAAATATAATTAATGAAAATTCTTGAAAGAGTATGAGAAAAAGACATTGAGTTTATTTTATGTGGGGAAAAAAGGTTCAGGGGTGATACAATGCTTATACACAAGTTGTGTGTGTGTGTGTGTGTGTGTGTGTGTGTGTGTTTAATTGTATCATCTCCAAAAAATAAAAATTAGAGGGAAAAGAGATATTAAATACTAGATCTGGCTTTTATGACAAGTGGCCTTTCTATATGTACATCACTGAAAATGGAATTTGTATCAGGCTGGAATATTTGAATAAATTTCAATCAGCATGACCTGTCATATTCTCTTTTTAAGTTTTGTGGCTCGATTTCATTGAGTTCACTGTTGTCATCAGCTCATATCCACAACATAAAGCATCTGCGTCACAAAGTTTGAGTTTGGAGAGCCCAGAGGCTTCCAAAATTCATGGAAATAAGTTCCAGAAGGCTTTGACCTTTGGGAAGTCCCAGGCTGTCTTATCTCCACTCCACGTGGAGTGGCCTTTCATTGAAGGAGGCAACAAGTGGTAGTAAGACTCTAAAACTTGCAAAATCAATGGAGAAAGCTACATGAAATGACATCTTCAGATTTACTTGTGATTGGCACCTGATCCCTATTTGAGAATCAAAAGGTTGTCATAAAGTCCATGTTTTATTACTTTCTTCTTTTATATCAGGCAACCCCCAAATGGTTATCATAAAGCCCCATCTTTGCCCTCAGTAGTAACCAAGGCAGACAGGCAGGCAGCTACAGGGTTGACCTATATAGGTTTGGTGGAAAGTAGGGCCCTTGGGTCCCACCTCTCTGGCCAACAATCTATAACTGATTTTCACTGAGTTTTATTTAGTTATCTAAAGGAAAATCCAGTTTATATCTTGGTTGGAGAATTGGATTTCCTTGTTCGATGGCTGTATTTTTATGGGTATAATCTTAAGTGGCCAAATCTTGAAGGGTGACAGCTGTGGTTAGGTTAGTAGTGAGCCGCCTGAGGATATTAGAGTTCAACTTGTACAAAGAGCCAAAATCAACTCTTAAAAATATTCAGCTTTCTCATAAGATTTGCTGGAGGCTGTTCTCCCCAGAACTCTTAAACTTGGATATCACCAATGATCTACAGATTATTATAGCTCGGAGCCGTGCTGAATTTTATCATAGACTGATGTTTAGTTGTTCTGATATTAGATGATCCTCATATGTCTTAATATTTATGCAGTTATACTCCCCAAGTTAAAATGAGTGGACTATAGTACAACTACATGATTTTTAAAGGTGCTTCTTAATTATATTTTCTCTTCTACTTCTATTTACCATTCACAATTTGGAAGATGAACATTGACCCAAACTGGAGAATAAAAACTGCAACAGAATTTTAGTTTAATAGGGGCAGGGATTTTAAGCCTGCTTGTACATGGCTGTATCACCAGTAGAACAGTTAAGTGCCTGGGAATTCACAGGAAAGCAATACAATTTGTTAAATAGTTCTTTTTGATTCAAATGCAAACTTTTGAATAAAAACACTGGAAATTATATACATACCAGAAAATCCATACACAAATGCACATGGCTCTTTTGATACATTCAACATGTTCTAAATGACTGCAATGATTATGTAACCATTGCTATTTACTACAGAAATATAATTACTGTGTTACTACCTTTAATGCTCCATATATCACCGCCTTTCTAGAGGAGTTTCACAGAAGTCTGGATTCTTGGTTTTATATTGGTTCATGTTTCGTATCCCTGAGAACAACAAGAATGTCCTGCCCTTTTTCTTGCTCTTTTACTAACTCCAAATATAGTTTCAAATACCTTTCTAAACTACCTGGTTTAATTTAAGAAAGGATACTACAGGAGAGTAAAATTAGAGTGTAGGTGAAATGAAATCTGCGCATGGCTGGCCTCTTTAGATATAATTTACTGATGATTAGATGAGATTATACAGAACTATTTGGCTGCAATGGTAGACAGGAAAAAGAAATGGAAAATTCTTTAAGGTGATGAACTTGTGTTGACATTTACAAATGACCTGCGCATAGCTCTGTACTTTCTTTTTTTTAAGACGGAGTCTAGCTCTTTCACCCAGGCTGGAGTGCAGCGGTGCAATCTCGGCTCACTGCAACCTCCACCTCCCGGGTTCAAGTGATTCTCCTGCCTCAGCCTCCCGAGTAGCTGGGGTTATAGGCACGCACCACCATGCCTGGTTAATTTTTGTATTTTTAGTAAAGATGGGGTTTCATTATGTTGGCCAGGCTGCTCTCGAACTCCTGACCTCAGATGATCCACCTGCCTCGGCCTCCCAAAGTGCTGGTATTACAGGTGTGAGCCAACGCACCTGGCTTGTATTTTCTTTTTTAGTATTGCTCCAGTATGATTGGTTGATTAAAGCATTAGACACACACACACACACGTGTGTGTATGTATATATAAGTTATGCCGCTGAATTTAACATTTTAATGCTAGAAGCTGATTCCCAGTCCATGTGTTTAACTTACAGCACTGTACAGAGTTTTAGGTGTCATCCATTTATACTATAAAGGAGCATTTCTTGTGCATTAGTTGGCCTCTTATTGGCTTCCAAGGATTAATATGATTTATAAATAAAATGTATAAGGAGAGCCTTTATGGGAATTGAGGCTCTACTTATACATTTGAATGTGGTGAAAATGATTTTCTGCTTTTTTTTTTCTTTTTTGTTCTTTCCTCCATCTGGAAAGTGGCCTAGAAGAGTGCAGGTCTTTATGGCCTCTCTGTCAGCTTTACTGGAGTCCACTTCCAGCTACCTGAAAAGAGAAAGAAATTCCTAACCTGGTCCCCAACCATAAGGAGTCAAGGCTCCAGAATGACAACAGAGCCCTACTTTTTGAACTTGATGGAGTTAGGGCTGTCCGTTCTCCTTCTTCTTTGTCATAGATAGCTTGAGAAGTGCATATTTCTCCATTTTGAAAATCATGTGTCTTTTAACATCACTGTGAGACTATTCCTTCCCCTTCTTTTTCCTGGTAACATCCTTTGAATTTTTCCTTTGGTTGTGCCTGTATCTTTTTTCCTGAATAATATAAAAGTTTGTTTGGCTCTAGTCATGCAAATAAAAGTTTCCTACCCATGTCTAAACATAAAATGTTAATAGCGAAAGCAGTTCCCAAAACTTTGTTTCATACAAAATTAAGCTAATTTTGCCAGGTGAGTGACAAAGGTATCCGAGCTCAATTTGACGTTTCTCCCATTTCAATGTGCACCTCATCTAAATCGCTTAGAGTCACTTAGAGGGCAAAACTGAGTGATAGATTTATCAGTTCTTTATGCCATCCATTTTTGCAACCTTTAAGAATATAATAAATTTAAAAATTACTTTATGTTTGGCATTCTCTAAAAAAAAGAAAAATTGTTTCCTTTCTCTTTTCTTTCAGAGTAAAAGACAATGCCCTCGGGGTGGGGGTAGGGGAAACTCAAGGGCTTAAATCTCTTACCTAATAAGTCATTGAAAGCAAATGGCCTTTTAAATGTATTTGCCTTTTTATCTGTGGCTGACAACCCACCTCACTGGGTCACTACCCACTAGCTCCTGGTTTTTATGCTAACAGCGTTCTTCCATGAAATGGAAAAAGGTAGAAAAAGCAAAAACAAACAAACAAAAAAAAAAAAACACACCAAAATAATACAGGTAACTTTTTTTATTTTTTGAGAGTGAGTCTTGCTCTGTCGCCCAGGCTGGAGTGCAGTGGCGCATTCTTGGCTCACTGTAAGCTCCGCCTCCGGGGTTCATGCCATTCTCCTGCCTCAGCCTCCCGAGTAGCTGGGACTACAGGCACCCGCCACCGCGCCCGGCTAATTTTTTTGTTATTTTTAATAGAGACGGGGTTTCACCATGTTAGCCAGGTTGGTCTCGATCTCCTGACCTCGTGATCTGCCTGCCTCGGCCTCCCAAAATGCTGGGATTATAAGCGTGAGCCACCGCGCCCAGCCACATGTTTTTTTTTTAACTGCTATGTTAAAAGAAATACCTTCTCTCACTCTTCACAAAAGGGAACACACGCATAAGTTAAAAAAAATGCTCTTTTAAAATGGGAGGAATTATACCTAAAATAGAAACAGAAAATAACTAAGCATTGTGGGCTAGCAAACTTTGGTTTTGTTATTCAAAGACCAGATACTTCTCTGCAGATTTGAACACCAAGAATTCTTTAGTTGTGTGATTTTTATGGCATATGTATTATTTAATATGCCAATGTACGTCCTGGGCCCATGGGAAAGGAGGAAATGGAGAATGCACATGTTCACACAAACGTGGGTGAGCACCCCGACGGCCAGCCAGGCCACATGGTGGTTAGGAACCACAGGCTCACAGGAGAGTGGCTTTCACAATGTGAGCAATGGAACTCTGTTTCCAAATAGAAACTTCTTTTATTTTTTAACTCTGCAGTTTCTGAGTACTGAATGGTCTCTTATTACCTTTTTCGAGTAAACTATAGACACTCTAAGTGAGAATTCCTATTATCCCGAAGAAAGAGATTAAATACGTGCACTTTTACATAACATGGTTTAGAAACAAAATTTTAGCTTGACACTGATGTAGGTGCCTAGAGTACAAGCATAAAGAACAGAAGCCCAGGTATCTTTTTGCTCCTGAAAGGTGCTTCTGGTTGCATGAGACAAGTGTTCTATATTGGCATTTACTCATCTGTGTTGAATATTATTGATTTCCTATTGTTTTTCTCACTCTTTTCGCCCCTGGTTCTAGTAATTGTTTGTATGTGTGTGTTTCTGTGCAAGTGATGTTTCCTACTTTGGTCTTTCATTTGCTAATTCGAATATTTCCCATCATAAATTGGTATGATTTGGCTCTGTGTCCCCACCCAAAATCTCATCCCGAATTGTAATCCCCACATGTTGAGGGATGGACCTGGTGAGAGGTGATCGAATTATGGGGGTAGTTTCTCCCATGCTGTTCTCATGATAGTGAGTGAGTTTTTATGAGATCTGATGGTTTAAA
The DNA here is from genome assembly GCF_000001405.40 of Homo sapiens. Classification (NCBI taxonomy): domain Eukaryota; kingdom Metazoa; phylum Chordata; class Mammalia; order Primates; family Hominidae; genus Homo; species Homo sapiens. The sequence goes on from NC_000004.12 coordinate 95,607,609, forward strand.
AGTGTGGTACTTCCTCTGCAATCTTTCTCCGTCTACTGCTGCCCTGAGAAGGTGTGCCTTGCTTCCATTTTACCTTCTGCCATGATTTTAAGTTAATTTCCTGAGGCCTCCCCAGCCATGTGGAACTGTGAGTCAATTAAACCTCTTTCCTTTAAAAATTAATCAGTCCCTGGTTATTCTTCACAGCAGTGTGAAAATGGACTAATACACAAATGAAGTCCAAAGTCGATCTTGAAGATTGGTTGTGAAAAATCTAATAGTAGAAACTAAATACTTTGCTTTTGCATTTGGAATATAAAGGAACATTTCTCTAGGGGGAGTGGAGAATGGGGAGTTATTGTTTAATGAGTAAAGAGTTTCATTTTGAAATAGTGAAAAAGTTGAAAAAGTTCTAGAGATGGAAAGTGGTAATGATTGTACAACAATGTGAATGTTTATAATGCCACTAGGCTGTACACTTAAAAATTGATAAAATGGGCGGGGCGCGGTGACTCACACCTGTAATCCCAGCACTTTGGGAGGCCGAGGCTGGAGGATCATGAGGTCAGGAGATCAAGACCATCTGGGCTAACACAGTGAAACCCCATCTCTACTAAAAATACAAAAAATTAGCCGGGCAAGGTGGCGGGCACCTGTAGTCCCAGCTACTTGGGAGGCTGAGGCAGGAGAATGGTGTGAACCCGGGAGGCGGAGCTTGTAGTGAGCTGAGATCATGCCACCGCACTCCAGCCTGGGCAACAGAGCAAGACTCTGTCTCAAAAAAAAAAAAAAAATTGATAAAACAGTAAATTTTATATGCATTATGTATATTTTATCACAATTTTAAAATAGCCCATTTCTAAAGTCTCTTTCTATATTTGAAATAATTTTTGGTATAGAATAAATATAAGTATAAATATTCTGCCAGGATAATAGAAAGGAAAATTGTATTAATAAATTTGACTAGCACTATGTTTTGTTAGAGATATTCTCATGCTCTCAAAATGATGATCACCACTTTCCAGAAATACCACCCAATAAACATAGTTAATCATCAAGAACCTTTGTTTTTTCCCTTGTTCAATTTACCAACAGCATGAATATAATTCTCTTCATTTTCTAACAGGCAGTCCAGAGTTACATTTGTTAGTTGTGAATCATGGATTTGATATGGGTAGTTCTCTTTTATATTTCTGTTGCTTTAATTACTAATTATAACATACATTAAATAATATGTCTTATTTCATCTCATCAATTTAAGTTGATAATTAAATGATATTTGTACTGTTTTATGTTTTTATTAGTAACTAAAGCATCATTAAGTATTTTTAATATCTCACTTGTGTATTTTGCATGTCATCTATTCACTTTTATTGTTAGCTTTCTACACCTTTTTTTTTTTTTTAGGTGAGTATCACTATGTTGCCCAGGCTGGCTACCAACTCCTGGGCTCAAGTGAGCATCCTACTTTGGCCTCTCGAGTAGCTGGCATTACTTGTTAGCATATGTAAAGCATAAGAAGATCAACTCTTTGCAGATTTTCTGTTTTTTTTTTTCTTTTCTTTTTAGGATCTTTTGTTGAGCTCCATTCAAACATATTTTATTTCTAGAATGAAATTATGATTATGCAATCAACATAATCTAAGGTTTTATGAAATAAAGTGTAATTACAGTTAAAGAGTTCAAAATGGAATATATTTTCATCAAAAATGTATACTAAACATAATATGTCAAAAATTAAAATTATATTTCATCTATGTGTTGGTAAATTAAGATGTTTTCCTAATAACACTCAATTACACTAGTTGGGAGACAGTACTCTGAAACAATGTAGTTTATGCTTGAATCAGTGACCAATTCACTGTGTAATTTCTGGGCTTCAGGGGTAGACATGGGAATGGCTCTTCTCACTAATACATTTAATAACTCACCCACAGGATTATTTTTTTTGCTTCCAGTCCTTGCAACTTAAGAGTTACATTGCTTTAGAGCATTAATATTCAAAGGAGTAATGCATGACAGTGGTCATGAGAAGAATTCCGCTGAATTGGACTGCTACATGTATATTGGAATTTTTATGCTATTGAACCAATAGGCAAGAAAGGCTTGGTAAAGGCTCTCTAATGGCTGTGGTAATTATCAAGAAGAAATTGAGATCCTCCTTCATAATGAGGCTGTGGTGGACTATGGCTAGAACCTAGTGGTTTCCCTGGGGTCCCTTTTAATATTTCCATATCTGATAGTAAAATTTAATGAACAGCTACAGCAAGGTAAACAAACAGGTAAGAAACACTAGGGTTTCAGACTCTTTAGGAATGAAGTTTTGGTTCCTCCTGTAAGATAAAGAACCCCAACCAGCCGAGGTTCTCGTTGAGGGCAAAGGTAACATAAAATGGATAATGTAAGAAAAGTAATTAGGGACTCCTGGTCAATTGTATTATAGGCATGAGGGATTTAAACTCTGGGCATCTTTTCCCTTGCTTGTTACATATGCATGCCACTTTATTGCTTTCTTCAAGGATTGTTGTTTAATCTTGCAGTTTAGTCTTTAGGTTACTGAAGATTTACACAGAAATTTCTTTGATTAATTTTTAAGGAGGAAAGACAGTAGAAAGAAGGGCTTGTTTCCCTATGACTTTACTTCCCATTCTTGTTAGAGTCCCTTTGGCAATGTTTCTTTATCCTGACAATGGTTGTTGCTTTCAGTTTCCTGTTTTTGTTTGTTTGGTTTCATATTTCAGAACCAGCCTCATTATGTCCCCAAAGAGATACCAGTATCAGAAAGTTGGCATAGCTTCCTTAGCTACTAGTTCCAGCTGCGTGAGGATGTTTTTCCAGGCCCCTGAGGTACCAGCACTGTCTGGTTAGTATTATTCTTTAAAAGGTTTGGGTCTCAGCTCTGTAGGGCTACACATAAACTTCTAGGTTCTAAAAACCGAATCTTTTCGTTTTGTTCACCCCACTCAAAGAGTGGTAGCTTCTTTCAGCAGTTGCTAACTTTATATTACTCAGTGTTATATTTTTCCCCTTTCAGTCCCCTAAAACCTATTTAACAAATTTCTCATATTAAATTCCTTTTGTAAAGATAACTGGTGTGGATTCTGTTTTCCTGACTGGACCCTGAGTACTGTGCTATTAAATTGAATACAAATAAAAACATATTCTTTGAAAATATTCAAATCATATATTAAAATTAAAAGAAAATACAAATTAAAATTAGTAAATATATTTAAACTGAAAATTATATAAGTAAATGTGATAATTTTATATTTAAAAAATAAAATCTGATTTTAAAAAATTACAATGTTTGAATGTTTGAATTCTAACACTCAAGCCCATCTGGTTATGTGTAGACCTAAGCATATGCATAGTCAAGAGGAATCTGAATTGTCTAATGTTACAAAATGTTTTTCAGCCATCATGTGCAACTATTGTAAATACCACTCAAACTCAAGAGTACCTCTAGGGGCATTATTGGGAACACAAAGCAAAACAATAAAAATCAATGCTTGGCACTAATGAGACTGATACTTTGTTACACTGGAATTCAGTTCTTCATGGTACCTGGGAGAAAAGGTTTGACAAGAAAATTAATTTGTCATTTTTATTCCTGGAGCAATTTCACACACTCAAATCCCTCTCACTAGGAACCATGCTCTTCTCTTACATTTGCAGCAGCACAACCTGCAAGCCTTCATGGCTTTCCTACTCAGTGACCTACTTGAACTCATAGGACCAGAAATGTGGAGAAGCATTTTCTGTGGTGTCTTAATGGTCATATTCTGTTAGTGCTGAGTGTAAGATCAAAGTAAGGAGTTGCCTATGTGTGTTTGAATCCATTTGTGCAAGCACACACATGCACGCATGTGTGTATGATAATGTGGGACCCTATAAAGCATAAGAAACAGAGCAGGAGCCCCTCTTGTCTGCGGCCTGAGGATACTACCTGTTACCCTTAGCATATTGAGGTACTGCAGTGTTTCCTAGGTTTTATTTTTAAGGCTCTATAACTTATGTGATTATTTTCCTGGACTTTGTTTGGTTTGCTTCCTAAGCATTAATCTCTCTTTCCCAAACTCTTCTTTTTTCGTGTTTTATTCTTTCTCCCAGAAGGTTTTATTTCTTTACATTTCCATGATGTAAACAAGGCTAGAAAACTGGTCTTCCAGCTGTCTTTCATTGACCCGTTTTTCAAAGCAGCATCACACATTTGCAGTTTTCACAAAGTTTTTGCTTTGTAATCCACTCAGTATGTAATTCCTGGGATTTATATCTTCCTCAAGGGCTTCCATTGCAATTGATCAGTATGCTCCAGGAATCAAAGCCTCTGAAAACCTCTGATACAGTTATATTCCCATTGGCCCTGGCCTTCAGTAGAGCAGATAATTTTAAAGTTTCACTAGGAACCCCAAGGTCCTTCTTACTATGGAAAAAGAGTTAAAAATCTACCCCTAAAATTATGAAAACTTGAGTTCACTCTTGTCACCTCAATCACATATGCACATCCTGGAAACCCAGTGGATCTGCCCTGTTCAAATTAAGCTCGTGGGCCTCATCAATACGGAGGTCTTCTATTCTCTTTATTTCCACATCATGGAGGCAGCAGGAAGTTAAATAGGATTCCCTGATTCTCAAATATCCAGTTTTAGAAAGTGGACAAAATAGAGTCTTTGAGTTTTTCTGTAAAGCTGAATGTCTTCATCCCACAGACAAGAAGTCCTGGCAGGGAGTGTGGCCTGATCACCAAAAGCTTGTCATGTTATGGTGCCCTTTCCTTCTGCCTTCAACAATCCCAAACATTTATCTTAAAGCCTCACTTCATGTCAGAACTCGGTGGTCCCTACACTCTTCTAGTCCCAGAATTATTTTACATGTATACATTCATTTTATTTAAATATACATGGATACATTTTAAAGGATTTAAAATAATTTTTATTTTCAAACTTTATATTTTATTCCCTTTTTAATTATATACTGAACTTCGAGATTAATAACCTATTCATTATTAATCCTTAATATATCAACATTTTATATGGTAGCTTAGTCAAATAGAATTAAAATATATTAATTAATAAAAAGACTACAAGAGATTAAGTCCATTAAGAAACAGTAACATGAAACTGGGCATACACACTACGCTAGAGCAAACATACATAAATACTTTCCAGGCATTTTACCAAAGTAATTATTTTTTTCTGTATAATATCTACTTTAATGAAATATAATCCAAAGGAAATTTAAACATCTTTATTAATATAATAGGCCACTGATACAGAATAAGCCAACATTCCTTTTAGAGCTTTTTTTTTTTTTCTTTGAGATGGAGTCTCGCTGTGTCACCCAGGCTGGAGTGCAGTGGCGCGATCTCGGCTCACTGCAAGCTCCGCCTCCCGGGTTCACACCATTCTCCTGCCTCAGCCTCCCGAGTAGCTGGGACTACAGGGGCCCGCCACCACGCTCAGCTAATTTTTTTTTGTATTTTTAGTAGAGACGGGGTTTCACCGTGTTAGCCCGGATGGTCTCGATCTCCTGACCTCGTGATCCACCCACCTCGGCCTCCCAAAGTGCTGGGATTACAGGCTTGAGCCACCGCGCCCAGCCGAGAGCTTTTTTAAATTTAAAAACACAATATTAGAACTTTAGTACAGTCATATATCTTCTTTACCATTTGATTATGTCAGAATGATTAAATAAGCTTGATAATTATGAAGCCAACATAAAAAATTCACAGAATAATTGCAAAGCGTAATTTTCAATCTTTTGTTGATAAACACTATTCATACATCGAATAGACCATAATATAGCCTTTATTCTCAAGATGGATGGGAGCAGTCAGGTTCCTAGTAGAGGCATGAAAGAACTTAAGTGGAGACAGAGCATGTGTCATTTGCAAACATAAGTTCCCTCCTTCAGCAACACCCCCAAATACAGCAGAAAATTGCGGATGTTGTTGCATTTCTGTTGGTGTGCTTCACAAATTTTTTTAAAAAGTAATGATTGACAGTGCTATTTAAATTCTAAACATGGAAATTTGACTTGCCACGTTAGAGCTTGATATTCAGCAATGCGATAAGGGCTAACACTGACCCTCTCTTAGAAGGGATAGGTATTGCATTCTTTCATTTTGGTACTAACCCTAAGGAGTATCCAAATATTCTATCTGACTCACCTATATATCAAAAAATATGTTTGCCTGGCTCACAATCAAACAAATTAAAAGAAAAATAGGTGTTTTACAAATTCTGTCACTTATGCAGTCCCTTGAATGACACTGGTGGTCTGAACGCAATGGATTCATCTTATATTGGAAGCCTATCACCTATCTTTTTACCGAGTTCCCTACCCTATATTCCAGTTCATGACATTTCTTTGAAAACAACAATTAAGCTCCAACTTAAAATAAATAAATTTCATTCCCAAACTGAGACATTTATTTATTCCAGGCATTGGAGATTATACTGATATAAATGAAATTTAGAAATTTCATCTGTTAAGAAAGACATATAAAATTATAAATCTAGGAACTAAACTCATCAGTTTCAGGAAATGAATGTGGGGAGTGTTCTCTTTAGTGTGTAAATCATTTGCTAATGTCAGGAAAATAGGAGACAAAATCCTAAAGTACTAATTTTTGTATTATTATGTATTGTCAGTTACATGCATTTAATGTATTTTCATAGAAATTATAAAACTTTTCTTATGCCCTCTTAACTGCGGTCAGTGTTTTGGCATTAAATTCTAGCCAGATAATATGCTGGTTGAAAATGTTGATCTGATACCACACAAGCCTGGGCTTTGGAATGACATTTTTATCAGTTATTAACTTTATAATCTTAGGTAAGTAAACATTTCTCTATGTTTTCATTTTCTCACTTGTAAAATCAGGATATCAGTACCTACAACACAGAGTTAGTTGTTTAAGGATTAAATGACATAATGAGAGTAGAGATTCTTGCTGACAGTGGATTTAATGAGTGGCAGGTTACTTTTGTGGATTATTTTCATTATCTCCACAGAGTTTTTTTCTAGAGAAGAAAATTAAAGAAATAGACAACAACAAAGCACGGCTCAGTTGAAAGATGTGGGTGCTAGTTCTGCCACCAACAAGAATTTACAGTTTTATTCAATGACTCTGTACTTATCAACTCAACTGGACTTTTTTCTTTTTCTCATTTAAAAAATGGAATGATGATTTTTTTTTTTTTAAATGAGACGGGGTTCCGCTTCATTGGCCAGGCTGGTGTGCGTGATCATAACTCATTGCAACCTCAAACTCTCGGACTCAAGCAGTCCTCTCACCTTGGTCTCCCACAGTGCTGGGATTTTAAGTGTGAGTCATCATGCCTGGCCAGAATGATGATATTTGGTTTCCCGATTCAGTTATTTGTGAGGGTAAAGTGAGATAATATGTGTGAATTTGTGTTGAAAAGTAGTCGTATCTACAATATTTAGACTTTTGATGAGAGGACAAATGATTAGAATTGATATGAAACCGGTTATCAGTGTTTTTAAATTATGAAATAATGTATACAGATGAAAGAACATAACGTAACATGTAAAATTTTAAAGTATAACAATAAAATTATGGAGGTATCTAATCAGAAAAATAGAGCATACTGTGGTAGCAGCCAGGGATAAGAAACAGCACGGTTTTGACTTTGCCCTTATCATTATCTTGTACATATGTTTATTACCATGAATGCCATATTTTAAAATATGTATTATAAAATTTTTCTTATGCCCTCTTAATTGCAGCGAGTAGTATCTACACTCTGGACAGTTTTCTGTGACATTATAAAAACTGCTTTATTGAGACATTCACATACCATAAAATTTACCCATTTGAAGTATACAATTCAGTGGTTTTTAGTATATTCACAGATCATGCAACCATCAACACAATCTAATTTTAGAACATTTTAATTGTCCTTTAAGAAACCTGTGTCCATTAGCAGTCACTTCCTATTCCTCCTTGTAGCCCTCAACCTTATACCATCATTAATCTACATTCTGTGTGATTTGCTGGTTACTCACCATTGTGCTTCTGAAATTCATCCATCTTGAGGCAAGTAACTTTAATTTATTTTCATTGTTGTTGTTGGTTTTGTCTCTTTAATCTATCAGCTACTGGGAGAGATGTATTAAAAATCTCCACCTATAACAGTTGATTTTTCAATTTTGAAGCTATGTTACTAAGAACATACATGTTTAAAGTGGCTAGCTTCCTGGTAATTTGTAATGTTTATTTTCACATAGTGATCAGTATCTCTTGAAGTTCCTTTTGCTTTGAAGCTTTTTCAATTCGATATTAATAAAGCTATATAAACTATTTTTTCTAACTACTGTTTGTTGATATCTTTCTTTTAAATACATTCACTAATGATTTAAGTTTGTCTTGTAAGGGGCATATTGGATAGTATTTATCAAATTTTGAAAAATATATTCTTAGAGAATTTAAGAGTAGAAATTTAATCAACTTATAGGTATATACATGTGATGTGTAGGTTTACATATATATGTATCTTCAGTATGCTATCCTGCCTTATTTTGGCTTAAGAGGTTAATAGCTAACATAATAAAAAAGGGGTTCTTTTGGGTGGTTGATGCACTTGCTTTGGTTGACAATATTTTTATAACTCAGCAAAGCAGGTGTCTAATCAAGGGAGAGCTAATTGTATTAATTTAGTTAATTCATTTCCGAATTTAATCTCAAAATGGAAGCCCAGAATACAAATGTTTTACAAACTGAAAGCAACACAATTTCTAGTACTTTTCTTGTATACCCAGGAACCCTTTAACAAAACAAATTTAAGCTGTCTAGGCAACATTTTAGAGGCAAAATGTCTGGGGACTAGAGGCCAAGTGTGGGCATTAATAATTAATTAATTAATTGATGATACCCACACTTATGTTTGATAATTAATGCTATTTAAGCCACTGCTTCCAGATTTCTGAGCAAAACCAAATTTGTGTAGCAAAACAAAAGATTTCAGAAAGCAAGCAGGAATATACACTCTTGAATAGGTGTTAACTATAAATCATTTTCCAAGGAATTTCAGTACAAATTGCCTCACCAAAGACCAATTATTACCAGTTAAGAACATATTCTAGAGTCAGACAGAGCCTGGAGCACTCTTACGGCTCTTTGAGAAAGGTACTTAACATCTCTGGCCTCTTTTTCAGATCTGTAAAATGGCAACAATACTAACACCTCATCAATTTCACTTTTTTTTTTTTGAGAAAAAAGTTACTTTATTCTTATTATTAACACAATTTATTGAATAGTAAGTGTACCAAACATGCTACCAAATATTCTTCTCATACTATTGGATTTACTGTAGTGTATGTAATTTCTTAAATGATATGCAATACTATCTCACAATACTCTATGATACCCTGATTTTCTTCCTACTCCGGTGAGCTCTTTAATTATATCTCTTCAAATAGCCTTTCTTCCACTTTATCAATATAGGCATTTTTTAAAATCAATGCCTTTAGTACTCTTTATTTTTATCTTTTGATCTCACCTGCATTTGTGTCTTCAGTATTCAACTTTATTGGTTCTTAAATTTATATCTCCAGAACTGAGGACCCTCTGTGTTTCAGATTTTTTTTTCAACCCTCTACTGAATATGACCATCTTGATGTCCTCACAGCTCAAAGTCAGTATATGAGAACCTAAACTCATCATTTTTCCTCACAGAAACATCTTTTACTTGTTGTTGTTGTTGTTGTTTAGAGATGGGGTCTCACTCTGTCACCCAGGCTGAAATGCAGTGGCATGATCATAGCTCACTACAGCCTCAAACTCCTAGGGTCAAGTGAGCCTCCCACCTCAGCCTCCTAAGTAGCTGGGACTATAGGCACTTGCCACCACACTCACCTACTTGTTCTCTTTTGGGTTTAATGTTTAGATATCTACAACAAGAATTACAGAACAATACTGAACGAAATCGGAGACAACACAAACAAATGGAAAGACATTCCATGCTCATGGACAGGAAGAATAAATATTGTTAAAAAGGCCATACTGCCCAAAGCAACTTAGAGATTCAATGCCATTCCTATCAAACTACCAACACCGTTCTTCACAGAATTAGAAAAAACTATTACAAAATTCATATAGAACTAAAAAAAGAGCCAAGTAGCCAAAGCAGTCCTAAGCAAAAAGAACAAAGCCAGAGGCATCACACTACCTGACTTCAAACTATACTTACAAGGCTACAGTCACCAAAACAGCATGATACAAAAGTAGACACATACACCAATGGAACAGATTAGAGAACTCAGAAATAAAGCCACACACCTACAACCACCTGATCCTCAACAAAATCAATAATAACAAGCAATGGGGAAGGATTCCCTATTCAAAAAATAGTACTGGGGTAACTGGCTAACCATATACAGAAGATTGAAACTGGACCCCTTTCTTATACCTTAGACAAAAATTAAATCAAGATGAATTAAAGACTTAAATGTAAAACCTACAACTATAAGAAACCCAGAAGAAAACTTAGCAAATACCATTCTGGAAACAGGCCTTGGCAAAGATTTCATAACAGAGACTTCGAAAGCAATTGCAAAAAAAAAAAAAAAAAAAAAAATTGACAAGTAGGACCTAATTAAACTAAAGAGCTTCTGCACAGAAAAAGAAACTATCAACAGAATAAACAGAATACCTACAGAATGGGAGAAAATATTTGCAAACTATGCATCTGACAAAGATCTAATACCCAGAAACTATAAGGAACTTAAATAGCAAAAAACAAACAACCTCATTAAAAGGTGGACAAAGGGGCTAGGCATGGTGGCTCATGCCTTTAATCCCAGGACTTTGGGAGGCCGAGATAGGAGGATCATGAGGTCAGGAATTTGAGGCCAGCCTGACCAACATGATGAAACCCCATCTCTATGAAAAATACAAAAATTAGCCAGGTGTGGTGGCAGGTGCCTGTAATCCTAGCTACTCAGGAGGCTGAGGCAGAAGACTTGCTTGAACCTGGGAGGCAGAGGTTGCAATGCCACTGTACTCCAGTCTGGGTGACATTGCAAGACTGTGTCTCAAAAAAAAAAAAAAAAAAAAGAAAAGAAAAGGACAAAGGACATGAACAATGAATAAATGAACAGAAACTTCTCAAAAGAAGACATACACATGATGTGGCCAAGAAACACATGAAAACACGCTCAACGTTACTAATCATTAGAAAAATGCAAATAAAAAAATGAGATACAATCTAACACCAGTCAGAATGGCTGTTATTAAAAAGTCAAAAAAGAAAAAATAACAGAGGTTGGCAAGATTGTGGAGAAAAAGGAGTGCTTATGTACTGCTTGTGGGAATGTAAATTAGTTCAGCCACTGTGGAAAGCATCTTAGAAAGTTCTTAAAGAACTTATGATAGAACTGCTATTTGACCCAGCAATTTCATTACTGGGTATATACTCAAAGGAATATAAGTCATTCTACCATAAAGACACATGCTCACATACGTTCACTGTAGCACAATTCACGATAGCAAAGACATGGAATCAATCTAGATGCCCATCTATGGTGGACTGGATAAAGAAAAGATGGTACATATTCACCAAGGAATACTATGCAGCTGTAAAAAAGAATGAGATCATGTCTTTTGCAGCAACATGGATATAGCTGGAGGCCATAATTGTAAGTGAATTAAAGCAGAAAGAGAGAACCAAATGCCACATGGTCTCAGTATACTTGGACACAAAGAGGGAAATAATATACACAGGGCTTACTTGAGGATAGAGGGTGGGAGGAGGGTGAGGATAGAAAGACTACCTATCAGGTACTATGCTCACTTGCGTGACAAAATCATTTGTACATCAAACCCCAGCAACACAAAAATGTAACAAACCTGTACATGTACCCCCTGAACCTAAAAGAAGAGTTGGAAGGAAAAAAAGCATTAAAAAATCTTCTTTGACATCTCTGAAAGAAACCAGCATAATGTCAGACTGACAGAGGAATGATTATTAAATATTCACTGGAATATGATTGAAAATGAAACAAACGAACAAATTCAAACAAACTTGACCGCCCTTACAGCCGTCACTGATTCATCTCTCACATTTCTCTGCTCCTTTCTGGTTCTTCTGCATCCACCATGGTTCATATCATCATCGCTAGGGCTGCCCTCAGCAGCTCCTGGCTGATCTCACCCTCAAGAGCTGCTTTTCTAATTCAATCTATACACAACCTGCAAATGAGTTTTTCCTAAAACCTGTCTCTAGGCATTTGGATAAAAATAAAACAAAGAAATAGCAACTCATTGAAACTAAAGCTTCCTATTACCTATCGACTTGAGGTCAAAATTTTTAGAGGGCTCTTCCAAGCTGTCAAGATCATCTATAACTTGGTACAGACTCACTTTTCCAGACTTATCTCCTATAAGATCTTTTGAAAAGTGACTTAGTCTGCTGGAAAACTATGACTTCCTTTCATTAAACATATCTTGTTCTCTTTAAAACATGTCACACAGTATTAAAATTCTTCTCTCTCACCCCCTACTTTTTCCCCATTACCCATTACTGCCCGAATTTAATATTTGACGTGACTACCTCCCTTCTAACAGGAATTTATACTTTTTAAAACGAAATGTTGTATCATCTGCCTAATTTGTTTTGTCTGGATATGTCTTATCTCCTTTACTAGGCTGTGATGGAGAAAAGATCTAACGTTTAATGAGGTCTCCTAGGAAGAAGGCACAATATCTTCTCAAGAGCTGTAGTTAATGGCACTATTTTCATTTTACAGATAAGAAGGCCCAGACAAGTCTAATAACTATTCATGTTTGGAATGGAGCTTTGACAAAATTCTGGTAAATTTTAGTCTCAAGGCCTATTTTCCATGTATTAAAGGAAGAATGATTTCTTAGGTCTTGCCATGACACACTTGTTTCCTATTTGACTTTCCACAACAGAGACATTTGAAACTGTGAGGGTGAACCGTGACTGAAAAGTTACTTATTTTACTTTGTTCTAATTTTCCTCAGCACTACTAAGGAGTGACTTCTTGCCCTTACATATGACAGTTCCAAATTAAATGAGGAAGATATTTACAGTTCTGTAAATATCACTTTGGCATTTTACATTTCGTAGGAAAGGGCTTTTACGTTGCAGTTCATAGCATAGTTTATGGTTTTTAAATGCCAACTTGAGAAGTTGAAAAGAGACCTTTCCTGGAGAAAAAGACCAAGCTTCAGATTCAACGTTGAAAAATGTGCAGAATTTTTAGGGATTGCTGTGAAGAGTGAAGACGTTACTTGATGAAAAGAACATAAGGCTCTGGCTCATTTATTTATTGGCTCACAGCAGAAGGGGTGGGACATTAGAATCAGAGAGAAGACGATGGTTCTGTGCTTTACTTCCTTTATATTCTATTTACGTGACCACTTGGAAGAGTAGTAGACAGTGGGCAGGAATCAAATAGGTACCCCGGGAAACAGCAATGTCTGTATATCTTGGTAAATTGTGAAGAATGGAAGTATCCAATTGCAGATGTAAACATTTTAAAAGTGGGTCACTTATCAATTGAAAGATAAGACTGGGATGTTGCTATTATAGAGTACATTGTTTTAGGCGGGGAAGAGAGTGCTATTGCAGCCCATACTGCTCTTAAGTGAGTTGAAAATTAGCAATTAAGGTCTGGAAGAAAAGGGAATTTGTTGAGCCCAAAGACACTTTCTCCTTCCTAACATTTTATTTTTTGAACTTACAGAGCAAGTGTACATAAGAAGAAAAAAAAATGGCCTGCTAGTATTTCCATATGGGTATACATAATATACACATAACCTAATATATAGTTATACACATATGGAATTATATACATATGTGTGTGTGTGTGTGCATATATATTCTTCTAGTTAAAAACCATTGGTGTTTGCAATCAGCGTGGGCAACATAGTGAGTACCCATGTTGACAAATACTTTTTTAAAATTAACTGGGTGTGGTGGCATGTGCCCATAGTCCCAGCTGTTGGGGAAGCTGAGGCAGGAGGATCCCACAAGTTTGAGGCTGCAGTGAGCTATGATCGTGCTAGTACCCTCTAGCCTGGGTGACAGAGTGAGACCCTGTCCCTAAAAAAAAAAAAAAAAAAAGTCACTGACTCTTTTGGTGATTTTATATAAATATATCAATTTATATAGTGTATGTGTTGGCCATGTCACTACTCAGGGTCCCAGCAGAAAATAGATGGTACACGATATACCCAAATGAAATAATTGAGAGGAATTTAATGAAGGGACTTTAACATCCTATGCTGAAAAGGAGAAGAGGGGTGAGGGAAGGAAGTGACACCTGAAGTAAGTTGAAGCTCTAGGAAAAATGCCTTTGGTAGAGAATACCAGGAACTACCTGTTGCCACCAGCCAAAGCCTGTGGTGTGATAGGAAAGGACCCAGAGAAATAGATACCTTGACTTCTATTTGTTCTAGCCCTCCGATTTCCTACCAATGTCTGCCACAGGCCAAACCCAAACAGGGGTAGAAGACAAGAGGGTCTGGTTTATGCAGCCCATCAATGTCATTCTCTTTGGACACAGAGCAGAATGAAGAATCATGGAGGGTTGATGTGAAGAGGCAAACTGAGGAAATCAGCACACCAGTGTGGAATTGATGAGGAAGTAAAGGAAGATCCAATAGGAAAGATCTATGGAAATTATAGGATATTTCTTCGGGGATGATTGGACTCTGAGCAATCTTTTGTGCATTGTCCTTCATCTTTACTTCCTGGTCAAAAGCATACCCAAAATTATAGAAAAAAGAAGAAATAATAACTGCTGGGTTTTATCTTAGGTTAGACTTTTTACTAAGCTCCAGGTTTTGTAAAATTATATAATCTATGCCTCCATTTCATTCAAAGGAATAGTACACCTTATTTTTTACCATAAAGGTTACTTTTTAAAATTTATTGTCTGCAATTTCTGACTGTTATACTTAGCTGCCTTTTGTAATCTCAGTCATTTTCTCAATTTTTCCATTGTAGCAATCTGTTTTATAATATGGAAAAAAAGAAGCCCAGGAAATTTAAGTTTTGTAGCAAACATTTGGACCTCAGCAAGGCCAAAGAGTTTTCTCAAATTATTGTTGCAATATAACCAGTTTTGTTGCTATAAAAATGTAAATAAATTATATGAGTAGCTTATATCTTTCACATAGAGATGGTTTCTACCATATTTTCGGAATTTAAATGTCCACAGGTATGACAGAACATAAGCCAGCAGGGGTTGCTGACGCTGGCATGAAAATGTTGATGATTAAAATATCACCATAGTATGAGGTTTACTATTCCTACCATCATTTAAGAAAAAGGTTAAATTACTTAATTTTAGCTGCAATTTATTTTTCCAATTATTCTTTATTGTTTTCCCCAAGTAGCATAATGCATGATCCAAAAATACAAAATGAAACGAACCAAGAGAAAAACCTAATTTAACTGGTTGTTGCTGACATTTTGCCTTTTCTCAGAAAGCAGCCTCAGTTAAAAATAACTCAAAGGCATTTTTGGTGAACACTCTGACCTAGAATAAAAATATCTCAGTAAGCTAGCAATTTTCTATTTTATAGTTGGTCCTGAGAAGAAGCAGCCAGAGTGATATTTGTGTTCATTACGCTGTATAAAAAATTATAATCTCAAGCTTAGAGAGAGTCACTAATTATGTGACGTTGACATGCTTTTGAATATTTATTTATCACTGTGTATGAAATGAATTTGTTTCAAAACAAAAAAAAATCCTACAGAAAGACAAAGAGATTATTTTGTGAGGTTGTGAGCAGGTAAGCTAGCCTGCTTAACATGGAGACTTCGCTCACTGGTCCTCTTTCCACTCATTAAAGAGTTTCTCTGAATTATCTCATTCTTAACCATGACTTCAACATCCCTACACACTGATTTCCCTAAAATTCCACCTCAGACTCCAAATCAGGCTCTACCCTGAGTTCCAAACTGCTCTATTCAATTACTGTATTGTATTAGTTATCTATTGTTGTGTAACAAATTATCCAAAAACCTAATAGCTTAAAACAACAGACAGTCTCTCATAATAATTTCTGTGGATCAGGAATCAGGGCCCTACTTAGCTGGTCCTCTAGCACAGGGTCTCTCACAAGGTTGCAATCCAGGTGTTGCTTTGATTGTAGTGGATTTAAAGGCTCAGCTGGAGGAGAATCTGCTTCCAAGATCACTCTCATGATTGTTGGAAGGATTGAGCTCTTGCCAGGGGTTAGCCTGAGGCCTTTCTTAAATTTCTTTCCTGTACAGCCCACTCCACTGGGCAGATAATCAGGCAGAGGGCTTCCCTAGGAGTGAGAGCATAAGAGAATGGCAAGCAAGAAGGACAT
This sequence comes from Homo sapiens, assembly GCF_000001405.40. Taxonomy (NCBI): domain Eukaryota; kingdom Metazoa; phylum Chordata; class Mammalia; order Primates; family Hominidae; genus Homo; species Homo sapiens. The sequence goes on from NC_000004.12 coordinate 95,623,945, forward strand.
CACAATCTTCTTATAACTTAATCTTGGAAGTGTCAACCCATCCCGTCTGCTGTATTCTGTTCATCAGAAGTGAGTCATTTGGTCCACTCTTCCTCAAGATGAAGGGATTATACAAGAGCCTGAATGCCAGGACCTGGAACAGTGGGGACCCCCTCAGAGGGAGCCCACCACAGGTGCCAACCAAACATTTCCTCCCAGGCTGTCACAGGCACCTGAAAGTCAACATGTCTAAAATTAACTCTATCAATGCTGCTCCTAAACCAACTTCTCCTTCTATATTCTCTCACTTGAATATGGGTCACAGAATGTGATCTATACAGTGTCTACGTGTGTGTGTGTGTGTGTGTATGTGTGCACGCACATGTGCGTATTTGGTGTGTTTATTAAAGTTTTTTTTTTCTTGTTTTGCTTTTGTCTGAAGGGCCAGCTTGTGTCAGCTTATGTGACAAGTGCAGAGATCCTGGAGTCAAAGTACAGTGGGAAGAGGGCATAGACTGAATATGAAATTCCAGGAGACGTCATGTTTACTGAATTTTTTGTCTGAAAAATCAAGTATATCTACTATTTATTTTCTGCTTGGCCTTTTTTAGCTTTTATTTTTTTACAAATGTATGTTTATGATACTCTCTGGCCTTCTTACTGTTGCTGCCCTCACTTTCACACCCTCATGTCAGGTGGAAGCCCTGCCATCCTTCCACTTGCTGAGACTGTGTGGAACACCTCTGTGCAGCTGTGGAATTCTAATGGGGAAAGTAAACCATGAGGAGTGTATCCAGTTTGGACTATGGCCTTCTTTCAACTCCAGCTCTCATATTTTCAAGTTAAATGGATCAAATCTCCTCTACTTGCTCCCTTGCTTGCCTTCTTAAGCAAAGGAGACAAAAGACATCTTTTGGACCCAATTGCACTGCAGTATGGTAATTATTTCTCATGACATTTTTTCGGAATGTGAATAGCACCTATTGATATTTTTATGTACAGATTCTTACTTTTATGTTATATTGATAATTTTCTTTGGACTCTGGAAAGGGTGGGAAGTGAGGTGGGTTAGAAGACAAGGTTCAACTGGCTATTTTACAAAGACCTTAAAAAAATCATTTCTTGCCTTGTCAACAGAATGTGATTCTATTACAGAGGCTTAATAACATCTTGAAAATTTCTGTCAGAAACAATTATCCACCAGTTCCTCCTTGTCCATCCATTTATGTGTCCTTCCCAAATAACTCTAGTAGATAACTGAGAATTAATGTTGCCTTGATCTCAATAGATTACATTTCTGAAAATAGGATTATGCCTATAACTTTCCTGCCATGGAAGTAAGGCTAATTTAATTGCATGTGCTCTATTGCTTTTTCTGGAAACTTTGTGAAAGCTGGGGCCCATCTTGGCAAGCCTCTGGTTCCCTGAAAGTTGCTATTTATACTATTATGGCCACATACATTAATCATGATTTATTCAATTTATACTCATGGTTTTCTCAAAATTTTGGCTGGAGATTCAGTTTTTATGTTTTACTTATATCTAGTTCATCAACTAATGTAAAAGAACCCATGTCTCTATTTGCTTTTACTTCTCACTTGTCTGCTAAGATTATTTGGAATTGGTTTCATAATATCTTATCAATAAGCACCAAAACAATGTTTACAGAATCTTTGCTATTTCCTTGTTATTCTAGAGCATGGATTTGGTACCATAGAGATAAAATGGCCCTAGTGATTCCAGCTTTAGATTATTGAAAGAAACCTTTTCACAAATTATATCCACATGGTAAGTAGTTCCTAGGTGGGCCTAAATGCTCACTCTTACCTCTCAATACTTTATTATTTGTAAAAATCGTCAGATGGTTGGAGCCACTCTTCATTTTTCTCCTAACAAATGCTTAGGATTTTCTGGCATTCTCTTTCCTGAAATTGAGTAAATATCTCATGGACATCAGTTACATCAGGATCTTCACTTGCTGCCAACCATTTTCAAACACTGATTTTGTCTTTATGCCTCTAGTATATGTCCAGAAGCATTTTCTGGACATATACAGATTATATTTTCTGGCTTTATTTTTCTGCCACTTTCTGTACTTGTCAGTTGTCTGCGCCATTTAGTGGATTACTTTCTGGTTCCATTTTTTCAAGCACATCATCAACTTGCAATAGGGTACCTTCAGAAGACTAGCGTCAACCTAAGTGTTTTTGCTCTTCTGCACCCATTCTTCACCCCTTTATTATATTTTAAAAAACCAAAAAATCACTTTTATCAAAAATTTTTTTTTTAGTGCCACAGCTTGGTTGCATTTTTATTCATATTCTCTCTTTTTTGTCAATGATTCCTTCCAATTATTATAGGGATATTTTTGTTGGTTAGGTTAAACTTTAAGTGTGTATTCAGCACTTCCAGGCAATATCCACTATATTTCCCAGTGAATTCACTCTCACAATCTCAAAATGGACTGATCTGGTGGCTCTGCTTTTATTTTACTAAAAATATTCAAGCAATGAGAAGAAAACTTATTTATCTTGCTGGCACCACATTTACCAAATACATACACGTGTCCCTATATATCTTCCCTCCTGCTACATGCATCCAATACTACTGCTCTTATAGAAGATGCTATTCTTATGTATTTGATTCCACTCATTTTCTTCAAGGAATTTTGCTCTGCAAATATATCACCTCTTTTCTGCATTATCAGATTTTTTCTATTAATCTATTATTCCTATTAGCATGCAAACATAATGTAATGTTTTCCATGTGTAACAAACAATATACACAATGAATGGGGAATGATTGCTGTCATTTTTCAATCATCCAAAATTTATTTCAGTAAGATACATTAAAATTAAACATATAACCAATATACATTAACAATATCACTTAATATAATCTCTTGGCACCAACTTTTCCCTATGCATTACATACAAAAATAGGCCCTATTCTGTTAGAAGGTGGACAAAAGATTGACTCAGAATATACTTTTATTAATTCTTAGATTATCATCAAAAGGAAAATATTTTTTTAAATTTGGAGAATTCCTAGATTACTGAAGATAAATACTAGAGTTTGAGAGACTTTTTTTTAAGGATGAGGAATTAACTTTTAAGCTCAAGTCAGCAATAAAACTACATTTATTGCCTTAAATGTCTTTTGAATGCATTTTTTCATGAATATAGAGAAAGGATGACTCACGGATTTGGGTCTTCAAACATAGCCTAAGGTTCTTGCATATTTTCATGATCAGTGTTCAGCATCAATATTATTCTTTTGTACATCTTTAGTTGGAGATTATTACTAATAAATACAACATAATCCCTTAAATAGACTCAGACTTTATGATCCCTCAGCTGAGTGAAGTGGCTGAGTAGCTGGTGTGGTGTAATACATAAAGCAAGAAAACAAAGTACTAGAGTCAGGAGACTCAGTGAGTCCAGGCTTCATGTCTTTTAGAAAATTGTTTTCCTTGTCTGCACAATGACAGTGTTGGATTAGATAATCCATATGGTCTCATTTGCTCTGAAACTCAAGGAATATATTTTTGGCCAATAATAATTAAAACTAGGCCTTTCTGAGCTTTTCTTAGTTACATTTCAAAGCACTGTTGTAAGTGCTTAATATGGATTATGTAATTTAATTCTCATAACAATCTTTTGAGTTTTGGTACAATTAATATCATGAATACACTGAAGCTTAGAAAGGCTAATGACAATGCCCAAAGCCTCTCAGCTGGTAAGCTGTGCAGCTGAGATTTAAATTGAGACCATGTGACACAAAAGCTGTGGACCTTTTAACTATCTCAAAGACTACCTCTCTTAAAGCATGGATAGATTTTCAAAAAGAGTGAACTATAATATAAGCAGAGTGCATTATCTTTGGAAGACTTGTGGTGGAGTTAAGTTTTACAATTGTGTAAACCTCATCATTTCCTCACTTTCTATTTCCTTACTCCCAGGAGACACCCCTACTCCCTAGGAGCCAAGTATTACTTTAGAAGAATGGTGACACAGAACACAGGGAACAATGAGCCAAGTTTTGGGCTTTTGAATATCTAAATTGACTTTTTAAACCCATGAGGGAGGTAATTAGTCTTTTGAGCCAAGATTTGTGATGCGTTAGAGCCAGGATTTCTGAATTTCAAATAGTTAGGCTGGTAGGAGTATTGAAATGAAGTTCATGTTCTTAATGTATTTAAAAGGGCAGACAGGGAGGACAGGTGTACCCCTTACTCAGAAATTGGAGGAGCCTGGACTGGGAAGAAGAGTCAATGAGGAGGCAAGTGAATTAGAGCCTCAGAGGGGGGGTTCTAAAAACCTGGAGGGAGAGGGCAAGTGATAAAAGCCTCAGATAATCCTTCTAGGGATCTGGGCAGTAGTGCAGATGTGGACAGAATATATATATATTTTTTTTGGCTGGAAGACCAGGGGTTGGCAATGTCTCAGAAGATCCCCATGGAATGGGAATGTCAATGAAATGGATGTCTAGGGTTTATGTGCCTCCAGGGAAGAATCAGAAAGCCCAAGACAATCCCAACACATTTTCTGAGCCTGTGTCAACATGAGAGAACACCACATTTTTCCTGTCATAGAGTGTGTGGAAGTAAGGTAAGAGAGACTTCCATCCTGAAGTAGGGAGAAGGAGGCTGCAGAGTGGAAGAACATATGAACTGGGGGACCAGGAAAGATGAGGGTGATGTCCAGATGCTGGAAAACATAAAGAGATATCAGTCAATGTGGAGGATGTTATTAGATAACAAGTAACCCACTCCCCAGTGCCTAAGTACCCAAGGAAATATAATGTATCTGTTTAGAGAAAAGAGGAAGCAGTGTGGGATCCTGAAATGACTGAAACAATCTTAAATCGACTGAAAATATTTTGGTGCTTGAGATAAATTTATGTTTGAGAAACCACCTAGAAACATTGTAGCTGACTAAATTACATTGTTTTTGTTTTTGGTCATCAGGTAGAATATGGGCTTCAAAAAAAAGGCAAGTTAAGTCTGGAAAATGTTTCCTGCATACCTAGGTAAGTAGACTGAGGACATCATACTGAGGAAGGAATAATAGAGAGGAATTAAGGAAAACAGAGGATTTGGAATTTGAATTGTGCCTTCCAATAGGCACTATTTTTAGGCTAAAAATATGGGCAAGAGGCAGGGGTAGAAACTGTATACCAGCTGCAGACAATATGAACAAAGAAGGCACCCAGTTGTGAAAATTACTGGTGTATTCAAGGACCAGTGTGACCAGGATTCAGGGCATTTGGAAGACGTAGCAGGATATGTAACTGAAAGAGTGGATTAATGCTTATTCGTAAGTGGAGTAGAGTGCCATGCTTAGGAGTTTGAATGTTTTCATACCTGTAGACAATGAGAAGCATTGAAGGGTTTTGAGCAGGAAAGAGATACATGGGGCTCGCATTTTTTAAAGTCACATTTCAAAGCCCCCTACTTGTTTATCCAATGTCCTTCTTGACATTCCCAGTTGGATGTCTTATGAGGAGGTAAAACTATTACCAGTTTAAAAGTAAATTTTTTATTTCCTTCCAAACATTTTTCTCTTCCAGGCTTCTGTATTCCAGGAATGGTACCTCCTTACTCCCAGGTGCTCATGCCATCATGCCTTTGTTCCAACTACCCCTCTATATTTAATCTTTTTAAATATTTTGTCAACTCAAGTAGAAAAATGGATTTCAAATATGCACACCTTTCCATCTCCCCTGCCATCACTTTTGGTCTAAGTTACCAGCTTCTCTCACCTGGATCCCTGTGTTTAACTCTGATCTTCTCTTCTCATCTTCCACTTTTGCACCCCTCCAATCCATTTTTCCCACTACAACAAGAATAATATTTCTAAAACAAAAATAAATTTATGCTCTGTTTGAATCACTTCCATATCTTCTCATTGCCCTTAGAACAAAATTTCAAATCAGCATTACCAACAGACTCTCGTTCCCGTGTCCTCTGCACGCCCTTCTAGAGGCATCTCTTGCCTCCCCTTTCATTACCTTATAACCTCCAGCCGTGCTGACTCTACTGACTTTCCTCCAGTTTCCTAAGTGAATTAAACTCTTACCTTGTTTTCATTATTTTGGCAGGCTATTCTCTTCTAAAATCTCTTCCAAGTGACTTTGTGCATCCTTTGGTTTCAGTTAATATCATTTCTAGAGAATCTTGCTTGGGACTTCAATCTAAATCAATATTTTGTTTTAACCTTCCTCACATTATTTCCGTTTTTACACCACAGTTTATAATTATACATTTATTTGTTTGCTTCTTTGTTTAATGGTTTGCCCCATGCTATACTATAAGCTCCCTAATTGTATCTATTATGTTTCTTGATCAACCATCAGCTGCTAGCCTAGCAACTGACATGCAGTAGGTTTTTTCTGAATATTTGTTGAATTAAGTGTATGAAAGAATGGTGGTCAATGAAAGCCAACTATCAAGTTGGAGGCAAGAAAATCGGTTTAAGAGATTTGCTGATAAAAATTAATAAAAATTGGAATTAGTTGCCATTGTAAAGTATAGAAAAGCAAAAGATAGAAATTTATCATTTTTACATCCTGAGGTAGGTGGTCCTAGACTAGTGTAGAAGCTCCACACTCATCAGATTCTTAGGTTGCATGTATTTTACTGCCCTGCTGTCCCTAGAATGCCCCATATGAACCCACCATGACGGCGATGCCAATTCTCCCAGCAGGTCCATACCCCAGGCAACGGAGACATGGAATGGGAGGCAAAGGGCACACCCTTTAAGGAGATTTTCCAGAAGTCCCACAAATCATTTCTCTTTATGTTTTGTCAATCAAATATTAAGTGATCATATTTGGTTTTGAAGGGGCTGTGAGTATTTTTTCCTGGCTACAATGGGGTTTCTGTTACTAACAAAGTAGAAGAGAATGAGTGTGCATTTGGACAATTCACAGTATCTGCCATGTGATGATTATAGAAAACAGAGGGACTGGAACAAATAAGAGTCCTTTTAGAAGTACTGAGAACTCAGTTTTTATTGGAGGAGCTCAATTGTATCTTATTTTATGGGTGAGAAAAACTGAGGTCAGTTAGAATGAATATCTGTACCTACACACTTCCTCACTTCCCATCATCCTGATAACATAAGGCTCATTCTGGTCAACAAATGGTTTCATTCAAGCTGACATTTTCAACAAGTTTCATTTGAACTAAAACTTTATGAGGAATTCACAAAATATCCTCAAAATGCTCTAGCAGTTTGCATGGTGTAAATATTTAAAGCAAATATATTCAAATAGATAAACACCGACTGTCTCATCTTTCTCGTAGATAAATCCAAATGCATCAGTGGGGCAGTGAAAAGTCAGCTATCTTTGTTCAGATGTTGTTTAGCATATCCCCAGATGCAGTGAAAAATATTTTGGGGGTGTTCTTGCCTTTCTGCTAATCCTTTTTTTCATTGTATAATGTTTCAAAACATAGAGACATAATCCTGCTGATGGAAAATGTGTCCAATTAAAATATCATGCATATAAATGTGTTTTGCTCACAAACAAAATTTTTAAATATGTAAAAAATCTGAAATATCAATTACTATTTTTTTGTTTATACTTTATTTCAATTAAATAATATTATGTTACAAAATATTATGTGCAACATATAGAGGTTTATTTTCTGATCATTTCCCTGATTTTGCTTCTGGCAAAACTTGGAACTTTGTTTATTAATAACTTCTCATACCAAATAAGAGCTTTTGTCAAAATTCTATCACGTGAAGTATAGTAATTTATTGATGGATTGGTAACCCACTATTAGTCATAGCGCCACCATGACAACAATAACAATAAACCAAATAAGGACCAATGCTGAAGTATTTACAAAGGTGTCAACAATGTCCTCAGTGCTTGGCACACATTATCTCATTTAAGATGATTGGTGACCATTTCCACATTTTATTGATAAGCAAACTAGGTTCAAAGACATTAAGCACCATGTCCTAGAATATAAAGCTCACATAAATAAACCAGCTCTGTGTGACTCAGGTCATAGGTTGCCCCCTCTCTTAATTATGTACATTTTCTGACCACCCCCCACCTCCATTCCCTTAATCTCCTGATGGACACTGCATTCATTTGAAAATGCAGAAGATATAACTAAGGAAAGCTGGCTAATTTGTTTGCTTTTATGGGATGTGTGGGCCCACAATTGCAATAGTCCTTATCAAAAATTCTTAACTTGGAGGTCCATTGACCCCCGTGAGTTCAAGAACATGTCTCAAAGTGCCTCCTGAAATTATATTCATATAGGGAGGCTGTTCATAATCTTCATCATATTCTTACAAGGATCCATGATTTCTAAAAACCCAAGACTAGAAAAATCAACAAATGTTCATGACTGATGAACATGACAAACTACTAAGAAATTTGTTCATACATTTCTTTGAAATATAGCACAGCTCATTTTAAGAAGGCTGAGTGGATGGTGGGTGACATTTGTTGAAATATGTCCACTCCCTTAAATTACTACTGCAGAAAGTGGATCAATATTTACTAGAAGCCTGTTGATCCAGCGGAAGATACTGGAGTACGCAGTAAGAACACAGGAACAGAGGGTTGAAGAATGAACTCTACTTAAGACTTAGACCCTTCCTTCTCTGACTTTGGGGTAAGTTTCTTATAATTTTTTCCCTGAGTTTGCTCATCAGTTTAAAAAAAAAAAAACCATGGGAGTAAGAAGAGGTAAGCCCTGTCTAGCCAATAGGGACATATGGCAGAGGAGATTATGGATATAGAAAACAAACTCACAAACACAATTATTATTAACAGTGAATTGAGTATCTGAAGTTTTCTAGTTCATCCCAGATTTTATAATGACAAAAATAGGCAAGTCCCTTCACTGAGCTGGGACTTTAATTCCTCTCAGGGAAATGAGAATGCTCTCTTTCCTTCCTGCCTCCCTGAAGCAGTGTTTGGAGTAACAATCACAGCCAAGTGATAATCAGTGTTATTTCTTCAGTGAGGCCTGCCTATCTGAAACAGCACTAGTTCATTAATTAATTCAACAATGAACTAGATACTTAAACTTGATGCTTGAACTACATGCATAACCTAGAACTGGAAGAATGAACTAGATGCATTAATTTAATAGTTCATTCTTTGCTGAATGTGATTCATCTTTCACTACTTGATGTTCTATTAGCTATCTGTCCATTTCTTCCTTTGCCTGTTATTTCTCTGCCCCATTGCAATGGAAAAATCTAGGATGCCTAGGGCTTTTTTTTTTTTTTGCTATCTGCAATTTCTAGAATAGTACCTGGATTATAGTAGGTACGGACAAATATTGAATATATATTGGATAATTTATGTGTACAAAATGCATTGATAAGATTGAGGAAAAAGATACTGCTATATAAATGCAAAATACAGTTATAACTCATTGACTCTTACCTTATTTCTCTATTATTTTCTCCTGTGACCCCTTCCTCTCTTCCCAGTTGTTGATGGATTCTTCCTTAATTTCTTAATACTTCCACCACAACCCTCACCCTCTCTCTATATTGGGCTCTGTCATGTTGTCACTGCAAACACGACACAGGGGACAATGGCTTAAGCTCTGCAGTCAGTTGTGTATGAGCATCCTGGCTTTGCCACTAAGTAAGTGTGTGTCCTGGGAAAACTTGACTAATCTTTTTAAGCATTAGCTTTTCCTAATCTGTCAAATAAAATTTTCAATTGAGAGCAAGAGAGAAAGAAAATAGGGAAAAGAGAATCTCAAATTTACCTTAACTAGAAAGTGGAGACTAGAAAATCTTAAAAAGGAGTGTTCATAGCAATACATTTGATGACAATTAGCAAATGGAATGAATTTTAAAGTAGTGACATGGATTTTGGTCAGATTTAAGATTCAGCAGCAGCCTTTGTAACTCTTATATCCATCAGTAACTACACTAATAAGCCCTCCTGTGGTTGTTCCTACAATCTGGGCTTTAACAAATGCCCTAAATATGTGTGTTTTTCAGGGAACATCTGACTACATTCAGAAGCACGTCAGGAGTTCCTATGTGGGCAGAGACACAGATTGTTGGGGCCATATGGGCCTGTGGACTTCAAGTATAGTAGCATACTTAGAAACTTTCTTAGATTATTTCTTCCATCCAAAAACTCCTATTTGGTGCATGTTCCTCCTTCAAATCATAGCCCTTAAGTCATTTCATACTGAGAGCTCTAAACTTTCTTAATAGGAAGGTGAAGTATGAAGACGTGGGATAATTCTGGACAAAAAATCAAGTTATTGCGGATGCTATAATAATAAGCTATTTTGATGAGGACAGAAAGTTCTAAAGTCAGTTATGTGCCAAGGTGGAGCTAATTTCTCACTTTTGAATACTAACAAAATATATTTCATTGGGATGATGGGTCCTGAAAATTGGTTGGAAGTATCTAATGTGGTAGGGTTACAAAGATCAAGAAAACCATTTCTGGTATTGGACCAGTCTGGAATGTGATCTTCCTACAAGAGTTATGATGAGATGCCTCATTTTTCCCTAAGGACTCCACAGATTTTAACAGAACTGACACCAAAGCAAATGATCCTTCTTTTTAAAATAACTGACCTGTTTTGATAGCTTGATATTTATATATGGGTCTTGACTGAGTTGGTTTTAATGGAAAAAAATAAGAAAGTTATGAATTAAGTTTTTGCTTATTGAGTTATACAGGATGCTGCCTCTACCTGCATGCATATTTGTACCTGTATAGGTAAATTGTCTCTAAATGCCAGTAAAAATGTAATTGGTTTAGACTGCCATAACTTAGTTCTATGTCATTTTTGTCATACAGAATAGTGGCAAAAACCTTCAAGGTCTGTTGTTACATGGGATAGTACCAGTCACCATCCTGCTCATTTCTCCTCAGCACTCACTGTCTGTACAAGCCCATGGCTTCTGCCTGTAAGCTCCTGTGACTCTCTCTTTCTCAATGCTTTGTGCGGCAAGCTAGAAATGCCTGGCTATTAACATTTCCAGGAGCAGACTTCAACCATTGATGGACAGCATTTGACATATAAATAGCCAACCTCATTGCCCCTTGGGTGGGACCACTATACAGCCTACTTTATGGAGTCTTCCAGAAGTCCCCATCAGGACTGAGCCCCAGCTGTGCACTGTGCCATATTGATCTACTCATTGACATATTTTGTATAAACTTCCTTTTCTGTCACTTCCCCACTCCAGTACTTGTGTTTCTTGGGATCACTTCTCAAATAAGCTATAACGCTGAAATCATTATCTTCAGCTTTTCTCCTAGAGGGAACCTAACCTAAGACAAGGAGGCATAAAAGGATGCAGAAGCATTGTGGTTAGGATGGTCAGAAAGAGAAATTTATGGATGAAGACAGACCGCATTCATTCATTCCGTTATTTATTCCTTTATTCCCTCATTCATCATTTACTTATTTCCAACCTGCAATGTGCCCATGACTAAGGCAGACACCTCATAATGATGGATAAGAATTGGCTCCTAGGCCGGGTGTGGTGGCTCATGCCTGCAATCCCAGCACTTTGGGAGGCTGAGGTGGGTGGATCATTTGAGGCCAGAAGTTTAAGAACAGCCTGGCCAACGTGATGAAACCTCCTCTCTAGTAAAAGTACAAAATTTAGCCAGACATTGTGGTGCATGCCTATGATCCCAGCTACTGGGGAGGCTGAGGCATGAGAATTGCTTGAACCTGGGAGGTGGAGGTTGTAGCCAGCTAAAATCACGTCACTGACTGCACTCTAGCCTAGGCAACAGAATGAGTGAGACCCTGTCTCACAAAAAAAAAAAAAAAAAGGAAAAAGAAAAATTGGCTCCCGTTCATGGGACACTCACTGTTAATGAAATGTATTGGACCTTGTAAAGGCTGAGATTATTTCCTAGTTTTTTCTTGCTGTCTCAGGAAACAAATCATAAGTAGATAGGATGGAATAAGGAGGATTTGCTAGTTCTTCATTTGTGAATGATGGAGGTTTTAAAATTAAGCACAGGGCAGTGTGAAAACAGGAACTTGCCTGTGTGGACTACCATTTTTGTTTTATATGCAAAGGGAAATCATTGTCGTATGGTCTTTGTACACCCAGCTTATAAGGGTGTCATTAGTCAGTTCTTTATTTCTTGGATCTTGGGTTTAAGATGCTACACAAGTATGAGATGTTACGTTCTCAACTCTTACTATATTTTTTCTTTAAAAGTCACACAGTTTTTGTTTAAAGTGGTATGTAGGAGGGTTTTAGAAAACACATTTTATTCCCACTCTCTTGTTCTGTTCCCTCAGTACCATCTGGTATGAGGGAGAGCCTCCTTAATTGACACTAATGACCGGGAGATCCATTGCAAATTACTAAATTTTGCAGATTAGCAAACATGATTAGAAAAATCAAGGAGCCTGCATTGAACTAATGTATTTTGTTGAGAACTAAGAAAAAAAGTTAAGCACATTATTAGAGCTTAATATTTTAATATAAATAGATATTTTATAGAAGTTGACTATGCCATTAGGGAACACTAGAACATAATGTTCTGTGGAAGAAATTAGTTGCAATTTAAGAGGGAAATGTCCTCATGCTTTATGCATTTTCTGAACTCTACAAATATCTATATTGTACATGAACTAAGACTAAGGTAGTCGTTCCTGAATCTTAGACGTCATCTAGTGCCATTTGTTCTGATGCAGGAAATGTATAGAGATTATTTGTGTACGTGTGTCCCTTTATGTTGTGTCTTATTGCTTTATAATAACACAGCTTATGTTAATGGAAATTTTGTGGTTTGTAAACATTTAAAATGTCAGCTGTTGAGGCTCTTAACATTTATTACTCTCAATTCCCATTCCTCTGTTTTCCCAGCTCTTTATCGTTCAACAAAATCTCTCGCTTTCTCCTACACACCAGTGTAAATAGTTTAATACACACAATCCATATATGCATACAACTTTTTTAGGCCCAGCTGTGTGTGTCTTCTGTATCCTTCAGGAATTCAGTCATCAATAGGGGAGGAGGAGGGATGGAAGAGGAGAGAGAGTAAATGCAGAGGAAAAATTCATAGCATAGATTCAGAGACTTTTTTCCCTGACTTTGAGGATTGCAATATACAATATGGTATATTGTACTAACATAGTGGTATTCTCAGCTTCTTTTCAAATAAAAATCTCTTTGAATTTCAGTTGAAGTGTGAAATTTTGAGCTTGAGCGATTGTTGCTCTGACATAGCCACTTTTCTGAACACAAGGAAACTGGGATGAAAAAGATCACAGCCCCATTTACTTCACTGTGATACAGTCAAAAGCCGGTAGGAGGAGCATTCCCGGGAGAGGTAGCCAAGAAGTAACCCTATGTGTTCTTTCCAGCTGAGAACTGAAACATAAAACATCTTAGTTTGCTTCTGATGCAAAGTTAATGCTTCTGGAACTAGAAGCAAGAGGAGCAAAGAATGCACATCTGATTGACTGTGTGATTGAATTAAGAGAAATAATGTCATCTGTTGCTTTAAGACAAAGAGGAAGCTATGTGAATCATTACCTAATACATATTTCTTAGGCTAGGTTTTCTCTAGTGGAAGCTCTTAATCTACATTTGGTTTTTAAAAACAAGTTATACTTCAAAATTAAAAATTTTATAAATATAAAAGCAATTACAAAATTACTTCAATCTGGAATGTTTTTGATTCAATTATAAATATATTAAACATACTACAGGAAGGAGATGAAGATACAATGCAAAAACATGGCACAATTTTACCTTTTTTTCTTATTAAATCTTTTAAAATATAGTTTCACTGAACTTTCCCACTTCTCACTGAGTAAGTTGGAAAAAAGTAAGAGAGATTATCCTAGTCTTAGATGTAAGTCTTTTTTTTTTTTTTTTTTTGAGATGGAGTCTTGCTCTGTGGCCCAGGCTGGAGTGCAGTGGGGCAATCTAGGCTCACTGCAAGCTCCGCCTCCCAGGTTCACGCCATTCTCCTGCCTCAGTCTCCCAAGTAGCTGGGACTACAGGCGCCTGCCACCATGCTCGGCTAATTTTTTGTATTTTTAGTAGAGATGGGGTTTCACCGTGTCAGCCAGGATGGTCTCGATCTCCTGACCTCCTGATCCGCCCTCCTCGGCCTCCCAAAGTGCTGGAATTACAGGCGTGAGCCACCATGCCCAGCCTTAGATGTAAGTCTTATGTAAATTTAGCTTTTCCCCCTTTCATTGTAATTTCTTCAGAGTACTTTTTCTAATGTTGTTTTCTCTTTTCTGCTGTTTTAAACACTATGAATATTTTTGTTTGAAGACTCTTCTGTAGTGGGAATGTCCTGAAACTTCAGGCCCCTAAAGGATTTTAGATTATAAAATGTAAGTGACTTAGTCACTGACTATATTATGCTTATAACAGCTAAGACCTCACAGATCTTTCAGGCACATGTGTATGCATAGATTTATTAAAATTCATCTGGAGAGAAACTTTCGCAAAAATGCATCATTCATTCCTGCTCCTTAAAAACAAACAAAATTAAAAAGAAAACCATTTTTTAAGCACTTACTATGTGCAAAGTTCTGCAACAGTGGGGGAAAAATAAATCTGCATATGAATGACTAGAATAATTAATTTTTTTCTATGGTTTTCTAGGACAATGTTTGTTCATTTCATAGTATCTAGCTTTTTTTTAAGCTTATATTGGTTTACCCCCACTGAAAAAAAAATTGAGAACACAATACAGAAGAGGGGTTAATTGCCTAAGCTCGCATCAGAAATGCTTGACAGCCCATGGCAGCATTGAATTGAATCAAAGAAAAACTAAGAGTTGGATGATACAGCTTTTAAAACTATGGTGGATAAGGATGTATAGCATATTTTCAGGAAAGAGAAGAATCAATGATGTACCACTCAATAAAAGGAAAAAAAGATAATAGTGAATAGAAATAAGCTGTAATTTTTTTGCTAAGGAAAGTGTTGTCTTGATATGAATAGATTCAATGTGAGGGACAGAAATGATGCTGCATTTTGTTTTGGTATTCCTCCCTGTCATTGCTGCAGTTGAAAAGCAGTCATTTCTAAGAACTTGAGAGATATTTCTCAGCAGTCACTATAATGTTTACCCTCAGGGATTTGGGTCCAACAACTTCAGCAACCAAATTGGCTTAAAGACATTTCATCTCAAAAGGTCTCTGTCATGTTCAAAAAGAGCAAATCATCCTTAATCTACTGTTTAAATTGAAAGTGAAAGACAGTAGACATTAACCTGAGGTCTCCACTCCAGTCACATTGCACAATTGCATTAAAATGCCCTGGTTAGAATGACAGTCTGTAACAACACTCTGGTGCTGCTGCTTTAAAATATTAATCATCCTCTTTGTAATCCTGGAAGACGGTATGCAAGAGAAGAAACATAGTAACAAATGAAGGTAATAATGGGGACATTCCATTTGAGCCTTGAGAAATGTCTTACACAATGGGAGAAAATATTCAGACCATAAAAATACTGTGATTATTGCGTCACCAGACTCTGTGTGCTGAGCAGGACACGCTGTCTTTGTCCCTCTCAGACCCCGGAACGTAGGTATATGTTATCCCCATTTCAAAGATAAGAACACTAGGACACACATTTCTTTTTGCTACAAATTGACACATTCATATTCTCAGTAAAATAAAACCAAATGGAAGAGAAGATGAGAGAAATCTCCCAGGCAGACACAGTGGTTTATTTTTGAGCCAGTCTAATAACTTTGAGTGCTTCAGTCTCAGGTTTTTGCTTATTCTGCCAAGTCCTACTGCTTTTTTCTTTTAATCAGCCATCATTTTTTCTAAAGGACTGTGTTTCCATTCAAGATGTAAGCTAGAATGGTGTTTCTGAAACCATGTGGAAGTAAAATTGAGTCATGGCACACTGTGAGGAATATGACCCTGGGGTGCCCAGGGATAAAGGGCCCAGGCTGCTTGTGGGGTATTGAGAGGTTTGCTGGAATAATGGTCTGCATGCTGACCTTCTCAGCAGCTTCTAGCACTTGCAGTCTTAGCCACATAGACAGTATGTATGTTCAGCATCATGTAAGACTCTGAAATAAATCTTTACCTACCTTTATCTACCTTTGTCTAAAACTTGGACAGAGGTAGATAGAGTCTCAAGAAAGTAGGTACAAGTTTAACAGCAAGTTACCCTAGTTCATGGACTTCACTGGCCCTTGAACCCTAGTTCTTAATCACAGTCTCCGAACTGCCAGTCACTGTGGTACAGAGGCAAGAAGATAGGCTGTAGTTGCAGTTACCAAGTGGTTGTACTTGATAACGTTTTTAACCTCAATGAGACGTATTTGCTTCCTAGGTAAAAACACAGATTATAAAACTCAGTTTACGAGGTTGCTTTGAGGACTCAATACTAAAATGCTCCTGCCACAGTCCCTGATACAGCGGAGGCTCAATAAATATTGATCTTAATTGCTTTCTCTTTTTAATTGCAATGAGTATACCTGAGTCTGAATGGGTATGCAGTGGTGGCAGAGACTGTGTTTTATTTGTGGCAATAACTTTAGCTTCCAGCCAAGTGCCTGGAGCACAGCAGGAGCTCAGGCGATGAGATGTCTAATCTCATAACAGACTCTCCTTGTTTACAATGCTTCAGACACAGTGGCCTTTTCTCTGTTCCTTGAATCTCCCTAGCTTCTGCTGTATCACTTTGGAATTGCTCTTCTTCTGGCTGGAGTGCTATTTCTTACAACTTTTTGTGTACTGACCTCCTTCTTGTTGTTTGAGTGCCAGCTTAATGGTGTGCTAGTGTGTCTTCTCAGTGAGGCGTTCCTTTTATACACACATACACACACACGGGCACACACACACAGCTTTCTTCTAAGTGGGAGTCCTTTTCCAGGCCCAAATTCTACATGTGATCTTTCAGGCACAAGTATAGGCAATTACAAGGCTTTGCTGGGCAGGCCTTAGGGTGGGAGTGGGAAGATGAGCGCTGTCTCTACGCCATAGCCATTGCATTGCAGTTTCTGATTCTTTTCTGGAGGTAGTTTGTAGTCAAGGACTTAGCATAGCATCCCCTCCCCCAGCCAGCAACAATGCTTATACTCTCAGAGGCATATCTGCATTGCTAGCCTAGGCCCCTGCATTTGAAGGCCTCTTTGTCTATCAGGGACCTTGGCTCAGCACATGTATTTTGACTAAGTACCTTTACACTCCTAGCTCTTCCCCCTCCTCCTCCAGCCCATAGATACATAAAGAGGCAGGAGCCCTTTGTTTGGGGCTTCTAGGCAGTGAGATAGATGATTCTCCCACCTGCACTTCATCCATCTGACCCCATGTTCTGTGCTGTTCTATGGGGGAAAATGGAACATTGGTGAGCCAGTGTTTATTTTGCCTCTTGTTTTCATTGCTGGCAGCAAGTGATTAAAGCCTTGGTTGTTACTTTCAGTTTGGTTCATTATCCTAATTTACCACCTCTATACTGATTGCTAAGAACTTACCATATTGGAAATGATCTTGTTTACTCATGTTTTTTTCACTGTCTCCATTTCCTGACTTGAATGCATGCTACATGATTCCAGGGACCTTGTCTGATCTGTCTCCTACTATACCTACAATACCTAGAAGAATAGCTGGCACATGCTAAGTTTTCCATAAAATATGAACACCAAATAAATGGTAGCTACATATTTGGTCAACTGCTTCATCTGGGTTCTTCCCAGTAAGAAACTCTGTGTGTGCCATGCTTTTCACAAGGATAGAAATAAAACTCAGGCCTTTAAGACCAGTCCTCAGGTCTTCCGCCTTTTTCCAACAGATCTATTTTACACCGGAGTTATATTTCACCTGCCTTGACATTCATCCACTGCCTCTTGTAAGGCCACTTGAAATAACATTCCATGTAGCTTACTGTGTGTGGCCTACACTTAGAATTTCCACTTGTTCGACTGATTACTAGTTGGCTAGGACATTCTTCAGTGGCTTGTTAAGTTTTCGTTGTTGTTGTTGTTGTTTTTTGAGTCAGAATCTTGTTCTGTCACCCAGGCTGGAGCGCGGTGGCAGGATCTTGGCTCACTATAACCTCCGCCTCCCTGGTTCAAGTAATTCTCCTGCCTCAGCCTCCCGAGTAGCTGGGATTACAGCCATGCACCACCATGGCCTGGTACTTTTTGTATTTTTGGTAGAGATTGGGTTTTGCCATGTTGGCCAGGCGGGTCTCAAACTCCTGGCCTCAAGTGATCTGCATGCCTTAGCCTCCTGAATTTTTCTTCCCTTATTAACACCCCATCTCTATAGGTCTTTCTTCTCCTGGGTCCTGGGAATCTTACATTTGACCCATTTTACTTGTTATGACCCATTTTACTTGTTACAAAAAGAGGCTAAACTCTAAATCAGAGGTTAGCAAATTGTAGCCAATGGGCCAAATCCAGTATGTGACCTGTTTTTGTACATCCCTGGAGCTGTAAGAATGGTTTTTACATTTTTTTAAAGAATTGTTAAAAGAAAAAGAGTATGTGACAGAGACAGTATGTGGCCAATAAGCCTAAAATATTTACTATCTGGCCCTTTGCAGGAAAAGATTGCTGATACCTGCTCCAAAATGTATCCAGCCAGCCCCCATGGTGCCAACACCCACAGTTGCACTAGTTAGCAGCCAAAAGGCTGTACTGATATGTCTAGCTAACCTCCAATGAAGCCTATTCATCTAATTACAGGAGAAATAAGCTCTACTGTGCTTGGCTTCTATACCAGGGATTTAAGCTTTTCAAGGTGACTTGAATCTGGGAACAAAGTTTCACTTGACACTTCAAATAGTAAGCAGAATCTACTATGTAAAAATCTTCTAATCGCAGCAGAGTTGAAGACCTCCTTTGGATTTAAGGGTATAGTGTTTGTTACTTTAGTTCTCTGCATCTTAGGTGCTGGAGGCAATTATTTGCAGCAATTTACTCTACAGGTCATTAATGAAATGGACAGTGCTAAGTTTCTAAATCCATGCTGACAAACATAAGAAGGGTGACCAAGGTGGGAAGGAAAGGGATTATAAAACCAAGGAGCACATTTGCCAAGACATACATATTGGAAATAAAGAGCTACATGGAATTCCACCAAATTTTTGTTGTTTTGATTAAAATGTCTGAAGAAAGAGTTGGCTGCATTTAGCAAGCATAGAATTGTCCTTTTAGCTGTAATGGGTGACAACAGCATTCAACAAACATTTATTGAACAGCTATTGTTTACTGGGCACTGTTCTAGGTATTGGAGTTAAACCAATGCACCAAATAATGTTTCTTCCTTGACCCATCCTTCTAGTGTGGGAGGCTGGCATATGTCAGGTGGTGGTAAGTGCTATGGAGGTAAATATAGTATAATAAGGAGATAAAAAGAGTCAAAGATGGAGTGTTACCCTGTTATATGAGTTTAAGAAAAGCCTGTCTGATGAAACAAAGTAGATCAGAGATAGGAAGGAAGTCTGTGACAATATTTGGACAAGAACATTTTATGCAGAAGAAACTGCAACAGCCAAGGTACCAAGGTGACAAGGTTGGTCTTTTCATAGAATAGCAAGGAAATCATCGAAAGTCAGTAGAGAACAAAGGGGAGAGTGGAGAAGGTGAGGTCAAAGAAGCCTCAGGGAACCAGAACTAGAGGGCACTGAGGATTTTGCCTTTTATTCTGAATGAGACAGGAAGCAACTGAGGGCTCTCAGCATAGAATGGCAGTGATCTGACTTAGACTTTAAAAGGATTGTTGTGACTTATCTCTGTGGAGAATAGTTTTGAGAGAGCAAGGGTAAAAACAAGGATTTTAGTTAGAAAGCTGTTTCAATAATCTCAGAAATGATTATTATAGCATGATAGGTCCCCGACCAGACTACATAAGGGTGTATGTTCCCCTGCCTGAACCCTGAAGGCTGGGCAGTGAGCCAAGACCATGGTGCCTAGCCAAGGAGCAGGTGTCCCTGAGAACCCAAACATCCCAGAGAGTATATGAGAACCCACTGAGAAAAAGAGTCTTATCAAAGCTCAACCACAAAAGGCAAGGAGCAAGAAAATTAGTTAAAAGCAGCTTAGTAATGGGAGGCTGCATGGATCTCTAGAGCTGTCCTGCCACCAGCCAGGGGTGTGCTGTATGTAAGTCTTAATACATTCATCTTGTCAAACTGGACTTGCCTGAGTCATTCTTTGGTCTCTCAGCTCCTTCCCAGTTTGGAGGGGACATTAGCATCCCAAATTTTTCCTGTAACAGTGATAGTCAGGACTGAGGTGGTAGCAGTAAAGGTAGTAAGATGGTTATTTTAATAGGATGGTTATTTTAAGAAGAGTAAAGGTAGTAAGATGATTATGTTAAAAATCTATAGCCTATAGGTTTTGTTGGTGGATTGGACACAATGTATGAGAAAGAGAGAGAGTCAAAGATGACTCCAAAGATTTTGTCTAGAAAAAAATGGAACCATGAAGTTGACATTTGCTGAGCTG
Source organism: Homo sapiens (assembly GCF_000001405.40). Classification (NCBI taxonomy): domain Eukaryota; kingdom Metazoa; phylum Chordata; class Mammalia; order Primates; family Hominidae; genus Homo; species Homo sapiens. The sequence goes on from NC_000004.12 coordinate 95,644,361, forward strand.
GACAAAAATATGAGAGATACAGGGTTGGTGGGGGTAAATGGGAAGTTTGGTTTTGGATCTGGTAATATTGAGACAACCAGGTAGAGATGTGGAAGACACAGATGAATATATACATGTCAGAGGGACATGTCTAGGCTGCAAATATTTATTTGAGGGTTGCCATTTTTTTAGATTGTACTTAAAAGCATGAAATAGAATGAGGTCCCCCAGGGAGTTTGTGTGCTTAGAGATGAGAAGATGCCTGAGAACTAAGCTCTGGGTTGCAGGTGGAGAGGATGTAGTGGAACAAGCAAAGAAGACTGAGAACAACCAGCCAGTAAAGTACAGGGGGAGCTGAGGGAGATGTGGTAGTCAGAAACCAAGTGAAGAGAATATGTTGAGGAGGGTATGAGCAATTCTGTCAAAAGCTGCTGATGTGGAGTAAAATTGATATTATATTTAGCAATATAGTAGCTATCAGAAACTTTGGTGACAGGTTAGGGGATGGAAAGGGCTCAACAGACTATGAAAGAAGACAGTATGGAACTCTCTTGTAAATTACTTTTTAAAACAAACTTTGGTAAGTTTTATTAAAGAAAAATTTTGCATGGTTTACTTTTCACCCATCTGTTCTGGCATGCTTCTAAGGATATCAGCCACCTAGATCAGTGACAGCCAGTGTACATACTCTGCAGTATTTTCTGCACACTGACCAAATTCAATATTCTTAGTGATGGATGCCAATTTTGGCCAACATGCTGTAGTACTCTATTTGGGAATTCCTCAAAGCTGGGCAGGAAGAATGTTGGCAAGGAAGAGCAATTTCACTTGGTCTTGCATGATCGAATTCAGAGTTTTCTTGTACCCAAGCACATACTTTCCACTTTTAATAACGAGTTGAAGCCTAGAGTTGATGGACTTCAGTGACTTTTTAATCTCATGTTCTGCCACCGTCTTCTTGTTTTAAGGTGCAGGATGGCCCCCAGTCAGGAGCAGCTGTCAAGATGACCGGGGAGCGAGAAAGGAGAGCTGAAGGAATATGAAGGATGATTAAACAGACATAAGAGAAATTGGATGGTAACTCAAAAGCATATAGCTTCAAGGGAAACATTCTAAAGAGAGGCATTTTAGTATGTTTGTATGTTGATAGGGATGAGTAGTGAAGAAAATATTTTAAAAAGTAGAAGAGGAAGGGAACAATGGCTGGAATGGTGTGTTTGAACGCATGGTATCCAGAAGATAAGAGGGATTGGCCTTTCATAGGTGCATGGAGAGTATATTCACAAAAAAAGCAGAAGTAAAGCTAGACTAAGAAATATGGTGATAAGAATGGGGAGAAACTTCTCTTAGTGCTTGTATTTTCCCAGTGAAATGGGAACCAGAGTCATCAGCCATGAAACAGAAAATATTGCAGGCTCAAAAAGTGTGGAATACAGGTGAGCTAGGCAACAACCAGCAGATCAGGAGTGAGGCCAACTGCAGCTGCTTATGAAGCTACAGCCCTGGAAGCAGTGTAGACAGAGCAGAAGCCCAAATGTGCTAAACATGGGGCCTGACTATCATGGAGCTTCAGGTTCAGGTGAAGTTACAAGATGAACTAGGTGTAGGCTTGAAAACACTAACACTTATATGGCTACCTGTGTTTTTCTTTTAGAAGCAGAAAATAGCACCTATGCCAGTTTTGGAAGACCTCAGAATAGAGTGACACCCTGGCCTCTGGGATGGTTGTTCATTTTCTGACTCCACCAAGGCAAGGAAGTCATCAAAAGGGACGTGGGGAGTGTGGGGAAAAAATACATAAATCATGGGTAATTGGTTAAAATTCAAATCTGGCCGGGCACAGTGGCTCACGCCTGTAATCCCAGCACTTTGCGAGGCTGAGGCGGGTGGATCACCTGAGGTCAGGAGTTCGAGACCAGCCTGACCAATATGGTGAAACCCTGTCTCTACTAAAAATGCAAAAATTATTTGGGCATGGTGGCATGCGCCTGTAAATCCCAGCTACTTGGAAGGCTGAGGCAGGTGAATCACTTGAACCTAGGAGGCAGAGGTTGCAGTGAGCAGAGATAGATCTTGCCACTGCACTCTAGCCTGGGTGACAGAGCTAGACTCCGTGTCAAAAAAAAAAAAAAAAAAAGAAAAAGAAAAAAATTCAAATCTTACTTGTTTTGTGCTATTTTAGTGCAGCAACAAATCTTGTAAACTAAAAAAATTTGGGGTGAAATAATAACATCTTAGCACTCCTATGAAGTTTAACTTGTTTTATAGTTAATTTGTCTGGACCCAGGTTAGTCATCTTTCTGGGACCCATATTATTAATTTGCCCAGGGTTTTGCAAAGTTATAACAAACATATAAAATGCTGCCTAGTTAACATCACCATTTCACCACTTATTTATTGGTAATCTTTTAAAGACACATATATAAATATTAAATGTGTGCTTAATTGTATCTACAAATATTTGTGGAGACTTGTCATCACTGTGCTTTTTTATTTAGAGTGTAACAAGTCTGAGAATTGGAATAGCATGGTGTTAAAACCACTCTTTCAAGTTTAATTTTATGAATAAAAGGAAATTTTTAAAATGCTAGTTTTTCTGTGTTATGGTTCAAATTTGTACTCTGAAATAACCTTTTTAAATTTCATTTACAACCTTGCTAAGATGAACTTTTTCCTCTTGTAACATTCTTAAGTATCAGAAAAACGTTTATATTCAGCTAGCTCTAAAGATCAATTTTAACATTTAATAGATGTATTGCAAGTACAAAAGGCATAATCTTATCAAACTCTTATTATGGAATTTCCCTGTATTTTATAGTTTCTAATTTTCTCATTACCCATTTAGAATTTTGTTTAAGTTTAGACTTTGCTATTATTTAGTTCCATATGCAAAATATTGATATTTGGGTTAGAGAGGAGTGGTTGAATGGCTAGAAATACATAAGAACTAATCAGAGGGACCCATTAGTTCAGTTCACAACTGATTTTGGTGCATACCAAAATTAACCAAAACTTCATATTAAATTTTACCTTCACAAAAATTACAATGATACATTATAAACCTAGATGCTGCTGCTTACCAAAGAAACATGTCGTAGTAGGGGAACTCTTGGGTATGTTACATAACCAGCCTGAATCTCAGTTTCCTCCTCATATTGAGGGGACAAAGTGTGATGACCTTGAGGTCTAAGTTTTTCCAGCTCTAAGATGCCAGGAATTCATTTGATGTCATGTAAGTCTTTGCACATGTAAAAGACACTGCCTAATGTTTATCTATTTGGTAAGCAAGACCAACCTTGCTTATCCCTTAAATGTTTCTTAGACTCATTATTTTCTCTCCTCTTTTCACTACCACCATTTTAGTCATGCTAGTCAGCATCTGGATTTTTGCAGTGGCTTTCAAGCTGGGTTTTCTCTGATGTCTATTTTATATCCCGATAACCGGATGTTTATTAATTCATTCGACAAATATTTATTAAATGTTGTACTATGTTCCAGCACTATTTTGTCTCAGCTGTGAGAAAAGCAGACAAAAACATTTTATTTCATAGAGCTTAGTTTCCAGCAAAGATTGAAAGATAATAATAAACCTATAAAAAAAATATATATATGTGTGTGTGTGTGTGTGTGTGTGTGTGTGTGTGTGTGTCAAATGGTCATAAGAATAAGGAAAATAGACAGAGTTGAAACTTAGGGAAAATTGGTGTGGGGGGATGGGATAGATTTATAATTTTAAATATGATAGGAAAGACCCACTAATAAAAATGACTTTTAAATGGAGACTGTTTAAGCATTTATTGTGAGTGCCACATTTAGTGAGTTCCAGATAATGTGATTCGCAAAGGTATTTTCAAGGGGAGGAAAATGTATAAATTTCAGAATTCAAGGAGTTTAGGGTCTAGTGGAGGAAATAAGCAAATAAACCATCAAGTAAAAAAGAGTCATCTATGATATAATGCCAAAAAGCATAAATCCAGATTCAATCTCTACCATTTCCCAGCTGTATAGCCTGGGAAATTTATTTAACATAGCTAGCTTCAGTGTGTTCATCTAGAAAATAAAGAGTATAATAGTACCCAACCCTGTGTCCTAAAATAATTACAAAGCTTAAATATGCTAGCAGATTTTTGTTTTCCTTCTTTCTTACAGACTTAGTGCTGTAGCTAGCATAAGTTGCCACTTAATATATGTCCAATGATTTAATAAAAGAACAATAAAATACTTTTTAAGAAGTGATTTTTGTTTTACAGTTTTACCCATTGTACACAGAGAGCTGTATAATTCTTTTTTGCTTTTATGGTAGACCTTGGCTAAGCTTTTTAAATTTATGCTCATCTTTTGAATTATCTGAGCTATAAAAAACATCTAAGGACAACAGCGATTGTGAATTAAAAAAAAATCTGAAAACTCCACTGATTAAAATGTTAAATTTAAAATGTTAAATCTTTAAATTAAAAGGTTAAATCTCTGTAAATATAATTTTCTATGAACAAAAATAAGTGTTAATATTAATTCTACAGTTATTATTGCTAAAACCTCAAGGCTTCCCAGGCAGAATGAAAGAGTATTATTTTACAAAATGAATCTATTTTCTTGTGCTATATAAAGGTTTTAATTTTGATGACAATGAAAGGCATCTCTAGTACCTAGCTAATAGCTATTTACATATGAGATTAGAGTTGGCCTTTAAAATTATTTTTAGATAGAGTAAAATAAACTTTGCCTCATTTTCTGGTGAAATGGGCTTAATCAACTACATCAGTCAATTTCCTACTATAAAAGAGGTAATATGAAAAGAACACAATATATGTACTCTATATATTTGTTTTGCAACTCAGTCATATAATGCAACCAAAGAGACCCACTATCTAGTATAAGTAAAGCAATGTTATTTTTATCCCACACTTTTCACATTTTTCAGTATGTTTAAATTAAGAGCCATGTTTAGGATTGCATGAAAAGTCACAGTCCTTCCATTAAATTCGTATACCTAGTACATTTCCAAAATGATAAGCCTGATATAAATAAAACCAGGAAAATTGGTTTTGATGCATTTTAGCTTCTGCATCAAAAAATATTGAAATAAGCATTAAAAGCAAATAGTTGTCTTTCAAAGCTGTAGTAGATTTTCCCCCTCATAGAATCCATCAGCTTTTGAAGAGGAACAAGTCATTCATTTGAAAACAGAGGTCATATTAGAAAAAAAGCAATACATGCATGACTAACAAAATCTTCTCACTCCGGAGCAAAATTTTATTTAAATTTCAAATCAGTAGTGAACCCTATCCAAACACTTTTTGAACAAGAAGGATGAACTGTATTTCTATGGAGATAGAAATACAAGATAGAAAGATAAGATATGATAGATCTTATCTTTCCTATGCCCTTGCTTACCACTGAAAGCACAGTAGGTCATGAAAAGGTACAGCTTAACTCATAAATAATGTTTAATTCACTTTATTATTACTCACCGTTCAGTTTGGAACCAAATAAGTAATCTGTGAGTATAATTATAATAATTTCATTACTCATAAACAAAACACTTATATTACATACCTGGAAATACTCTTTTGATGGTTAAAAATAAGCTTAAATATAAGTTGTTAGCAAATAAGTGTAAATAATAGTAAATCACGGAAATTAACTACTCTTTATTTTCAAACATAGGCCAGGGCTGATGTCACTTAAAATTTGTATATCCAGCATCTCTATTTGCAAGATTAGCTAGCTATCTTTGATTTTTTAAAATATATTATACAACTGGTTTGGGAAAATACTTGCATAAAATACACTACACAAAACTAAAGTTAGTAGATCATTTGGGAAATAAAAAGAAACATGTTATTGAAAATGGAGGCTATTGAAATTTTCAGTGTAAAAGTGACTTTAAATTAAATCCGCAGACAAAAGTTGACACTGAAAAGCATATAAGAAAGGGTGTCATTTTGATATTTTCAAAGTTCTGGATATTAATCATTTTATAGATCAGATAATTGATTATATTTAAAACTTTTGGTCAAGCATTTAGCACTGTATGCACACTGCCATCCTGGAAAAACATTTGAGGAAGCCACTGATTATGTAGTCTGGGCAACGTATTCATGTATTCTACTTTGGATTAGTTCTAATGCATGTGACTACCAACACTCTGATAATAAGTACAATATGTCACTGGAGAATAATAAAATATGAGTTACTGGATGTATCTCGAAGGTGGGGAAGCATAACTAGAATGTATTTTCCACATACCAGTTCTAAACCAGAATCAAGGAAACAGAAACCAAAATGCCTCTTTTGTGGATACAAAGAATACTGGAGGCTTCTATTGGAAGGCAAAGTAAGCTTCTTCGTGTTCAGCCCCAAATTGGGTGGGATTCTTCCCACAGTAACAGGGACTTCTTAGAGGATCAAAGTAGAAAAATAGCTTTGGTTTAAAACTGTTCTATAAAGAGAAATAGAAAGATAGAACTACAAGTGCTCAGTTTCTCCTTCCATGCTCACTAGTTAAAAAGCTGTCCACCTGATGTGGAGTCAGAATATGGATACAGAGGCCAAGGATCCTAGAAGATGGGGCTCCCTCCATATCCAAGGAAATATAAGGAGTGGAGAAGCAGGCTAACACTTGATTCACCTAGAACAACTCTTGGATATGAGATAATGATGCCAAATAAGAAATGGGGCTACATAGACAAAGAATCTATGACTAAAATTGCTGTTTAAGTCAATATTTATCAAGTAGTTACCATGTGCAAATGACAATGCTTTATACAGATATTTGCAAAGAGGTTGAACTCAATAAATATTTGTTGGATTAATGAAAATATGATATAAAAGCTCCAATGGAACTAAAAAAAATCAAAGCCAAAAGTTAATTCAGTTAATTGGCACTATAATTCCAATTGTCTTTGTTTAGGAGTTGAAAGAGAAAAGCAATCAATATTCAGAGCTCCCATGTGCTCAGCCACGTATTTAATATTTTTATTTCTGTTGTGGAAGATGGCCAAAACAAACAAAAAAAAGGCCTTAGTCTTCCCAGCTCCAGGTATTCGTGTCCTTTGTCATCTAACTTAGTAATGTTCTCAGATTGGCTGTGTGTCTTGCTTGGGTCAGCAGGATGCAGCAAAACACGACCAAGCAGAAGCTGGAAAAGTACTTGAATGATTGAGCTTGCTCTCTCTCTTGTACTGTTTCTATTACCATGAGGACATACCTGATCTAGCCTGCTAGACTGTAAGAGACATGTTGTACAGCCAATATATTCCTGTTGTCTCATCTGAGACCTGCAAATGCAATAAAGTTCAGCAGATCTACCTAGAAAGTACCCCAGACAATTGGGCACAGAAAGCTGATTTTTGTATGCCACTGAGGTTTCATGGTTCTTTTTACACAGCATTATTGCAACAATAGATAAATGGTACAGCTTCCTTCCATTCTCCCTCCCTCCCTTCCTCTAGCTCTCTTTCCCTCAACCTCTCTCTTCCTTTTTAAAATGATAAATCAAAATTTATTTATTACTTACTGTATGCCAGGCACAATGGGAAAAAGTGGAGGTGCAAGGATAATAAGACACTAGCCCAATCACTTTATTCCCATGTACATCAAATCTCTCTACAATTCATGTTCTCTTAGACTGTCAAAGTCAATAAGCTATAAAATTAAGTGACTATTTTCAGCCAAAACTACATTGGCTTATTGTTGAATTCAAAGCAAAGCTTTGAGCATCTAACTAAAGGTAAATAACAGACAGTGCTTAGTCATTACTTTTATTGTTAGCTCTAGCCTCATGTCTTAGAGCCTGGGCATAAAGACATGTCCTAATCCATAAGGTTGCTGGTGTCTCATGTGCCAGAAACAAAACAGATCAAGGAGAAGCTACTTTAATCATAGGAATTGTCATGTATGAAATGTATACCATTGTAGGACTACACAAGACGTGGTGATACAACCATCAAAATTAAAAGTGCTTTTCATGGCCTTATAGCAAAAATCTAAAACACATATCCTTTATTTTTAATTAAAAATATATATTATAGGCCGGGCGCGGTGGCTCACGCCTGTAAACCCAGCACTTTGGGAGGCTGAGGCGGGCGGATCAGGAGGTCAGGAGATCGAGACCATCCTGGCTAACATGGTGAAACCCCATCTCTACTAAAAATACAAAAAATTAGCCATGTGTGGTGGCGGGCACCTGTAGTCCCAGCTACTCGGGAGGCTGAGGCAGGAGAATGGCATGAACCCAAGAGGTGGAGCTTGCAGTGAGCCGAGATGGCACCACCATACTCCAGCCCGGGTGACAGAGCGAGACCCTGTCTCAAAAAAAAAAAAAAGTATATATATATACACACACACACATATATATATATACACGCACACATATATATACATATATATTTTATATATATCTATATAAAAAATAAAAATTTCCAAATATATGTAAAGGTATAGAAAATAATATAATTCAATGGCATATACCTATTAACTCAAACTCAACAATTACAACTCAGTGCCAGTTTGTTTCATTTATAGCCACACTCACCTTCCTTGATTTTAATTTGAAGCAAATATCAGTCATATCTTTAATCTGTATTCAATACATATATCTACATACTACAAGCTTTTAAAAATTTTTTGATATCCCTACTACACTAAAAATAATAACTTAATAGAAAATCTCATAGTCCATGTTCAAATATGGCCTGTTGTTTCACAAAAATGTTCAAGTGAGACCAAGAGACAAACAACTTTTCGGACTGTAATTGGTTTATATATGTAAGTCTTTTAATTTTAAAATACTAATACTTTTCTCTCTTTTATCTTGCAATTTACGTTTTGAAGAAGCTGAGTCATTCGTCTTATAATTCATGACAGTCTGAATTTTCCTATGGAATTATGTAATATGTTCCTCTGATTCATTTTTCCTGAAACTGGGAAGTTAGATCTATGGGCTTGATCATCTTCAGGTTAGATTCTTTGGCATAAATACTTCAGAGGATGTTTTGTGTATTTCCAAAAGGAAGCGTGGATGCCTCTTTTTCCAAATCTATCATTTATCTAAATTCATTAATTCACTATGGACTGCAAAATGGTGATATTTATTATTATTTTGAAAATAATTTCAACTTTTATTTTAGATTCAGGGGGTACACATGCAGATTTGTTACCTGGGTATATTGTATGAGGTTGACGTTTGGGGTATGATTGATCCTGTCACCCAGGTACTGAGTATAATACCCAATAGTTTTTTAACCCTTGCCCCCTTCTCTTCATCCCTGCTCTAGTAGTCCCCAGGGTCTACTGTTGCCATCTTTACGTACATGAGTACCCATTGTTTAGCTCCCACTTCTAAGTGAGTACATGTGGTATTTGGTTTACTGTTTCTGTGTTAATTCACTTGGGATAATGGCCTCCTGTTGCATCTATGTTGTTGCAAAGGACATGATTTTGTTCTTTCATATGGCTGCATAGTATCCATGATATATGTATACCACATTTTCTTTATCCAGTCAACAATTGATGGGCACCTAGATTGATTCCATACCTTTGTTATTGTGAATAGTGCTGCAATGAACATACAAGTAACTGTGTCTTTTTGGTAGGACTATTTATTTTCTTTTAGATGGATACCCAGTAATGGGATTGCTGGGTTGAATGGTAGTTCTAAGTTCTTTGATAAATCTCTAAACTACTTTTCACAGTGGCTGAACTAATTGACATTCCCACCGATAGTACCTACACTTTCCCTTTTCTCTGCAGCTTTGCCTGCATTTGTTTATTGATGTTTTAATAATAATTATTCTGACTGATGTGAGATGGTATCTCATTCCAGTTTTGATTTGCATTTATCTGATGATTAGTAATGTGGAACTTGTTTTGCATGTTTGATGGCTGCATTTCTATCGTATTATGAGAAATGCCTGTTGTGTCTTTTGCTCATTTTTAACTGGGATTATATGTTTTTTGCTTGTTGAATTGTTTAATTTCCTATACATTTGGATATTAGACCTTTCTCAGATGTATAGTTGTCAAATATTTTCTCCTATTCTGTAAATTCTCTGTTGATAGTTCTTTCCTGTGCAGAAGTTCTTTAGTTTAATTAGGTCCCACTTATCAAGTTTTGTTTTTGTTGCCATTGTTTTTGAGGAATTAGTCATAAATTCCTTCCCAAGGCTGATGTCCCAAATGGTGTTTCCTGGGTTTTCTTCTAGAATTCTTATAGTTTGGGGTCTTACATTTAAATATTTAATCCATCTTGAGTTAATGTTTGTATATGGTGAAAGATAGGGGTATAATTTTATTCATTTGCACATGGCTAGCCATTTATTGAATAGAGATGCCTTTCCCCATTGCTTATTTTTGTCAACTTTGTCATAAGTCAGAGGGTTGTAGGTGTGCAGTTTTATTTCTGGGTTCTCCATTCTGTTCCATTGGTGTATATATCTGTTTTTGTACCAGTATTATGCTGTTTTGGTTACTGTAGCATTCTAGTATAGTTTGAAATTGGGTAATGTAATCCCTCTGGGTCATTCTTTTTGCTTAGGAGTGCTTTGGCTATTCAGGCTATTTTGTGGTTCCATATGAATTTTATAATAGTTTTTTTCTAGTTCTGTGAAAAATGATGGTGGTACCTTGATAGAAATAGAATTGAATCTGTACATTGCTTTGGGCAGTATGGTCTTTTTAACAATATTCATTCTTCCTATCCATGAGCATGGAGTGTTTTTCTATTTGTTTGTGTCATCTCTGATTTCCTTCTGCAGTGTTTTATCATTCTCCTTGTAGAGATCTTTCACTTCATTGGTTAGGTGTATTCCCAGGTATCTTATTTTTCACTGAAGCTATTGAAAATGGGAATGTGTTCTTGATAAGACTCTCAGTTTCAACCATATTGGTGCATAGAAATGTTACTGATTTTTGTATGTTGATTTTGTATCCTAAACTTTACTGAAGTCATTTATCAGTTTCAGGAGACTTTTAGCAGGGGTTTTAGGATTGTTCTTGGTATACAATCATATCATTGGTACAGAGAGATAGTTTGACTTATTTTCCTCTTTGGATGTCTTTTATTTATTTCTTTTGCCTGATTGCTCAGGCAAAGACTTTTTGTATTGAATAGGAGTGATGAGACTACATCTCCTTGTCTTTTCCCAGTTTTCAAGGGGAATGCTTCCAGGCTTTGCTTGTTTGGTATGATGTTGGCTATGGGTTTGTCATAGATGGTTCTTATTATTTTGAGGTATGTTCCTTGGATACCTGGTTTCTTGAGGGTTCTTTTCATGAGTAGCTGTTAGATTTTATTAACAGCTTTTTCTGCATCTTTTGAGATGATTATACGATTTTTGTTTTCAATTCTGTTTATGTGGTGAATCACATTTATTGATGTGCATATATGAACCATCCTTGCATTCCAGGAATGAAGCCTACTTGATCATGTAGAATTAACTTTTTTAATGATAATTTTTACATCTGTGCTTATCAAACATATTGGCAGATAGTTTTTTTTTTTTTTCATTTGTCTTTACCAGGTTTTTGTATCAGGGTGATGTTGGCTTCATAGAATCAACTAGGGAAGAGTCCCTCCACCTCAATTTTATGGAATACTTTCAATAGGACTTGTGCCAGCTCTTCTATGTACATCTGCTAGAATTCAGCTGTGTATCCTTCTGGTCTGGAGCTTTTTGTGAGTGAGTAGGTTTTTTATTACTGATTCAATTTCAGAACTCATGTTCGTCTGTTCAGGGTTTCAAGTTTTTTTTTTTTTTTTTTTTTTTTTTAGACCAGTCTCATTCTATCACCTAGGCTGAAGTGCAGTGGTGCAATCTTGGCTCACTGCAATCTCTGCCTCCTGGAATCAAGCAATTCTCTTGCCTCAGCCTCCTAAGTAGCTGGGATTACAGGCACTCACAACCACGCCTGGCTTTTTTTTTTTTTTTTTTTTTTTTGTATTTTTGGTAGAGACAGGGTTTCACCATGTTGACCAGGCTGTTCTTGAACTCTTGACCTCAAGTGCTCCATCTGCCTCGGCCTCCCAAAGTTCTGGGATTACAGGTGTGAGCCACCATGCCCAGCCCCTCAATTTATTTCTGATTCAATCTTGGGATATTATGTGTTTTGAGGAATTTATCTATATCCTCATAGATTTTCTAGTTTGTGTGTATAGAGTTTCTGTTCATAATAGTCTCTGAGGATCCTTTGTATTTCTGTAGGATTGGTTGTAATATCACCATTGTCCTTTCTGATTGTACTTATTTGGATACTTGCTCTTTGTTAACCTTGACAGCAGTCTATCAATCTTGTGTATTATTTCAATAACCAACTTTTGGTTTCACTGGGTTTTTAAAGACGCATTTTTGGGTCTCAATTTTGTTCAGTTTTGTTCTGCTTTTAGTTATTTCTTTTCTTCTGCTAGCTTTGGGGTTAGTTTGATTTTGTTTTTCTAGTTCCTTTAGGTGTCATGTTACATTGTTAATTTGAGATCTTTCTAATTTTTTGAGGTGGGCATTTAGGTGCTATCAACTTCCCTCTTAACATTGATTTTGCTGCATCCCAGAGATTTTGGTATGTTGTGTCCCTGTATTCATTTATTTCAAATGATTTTTTATTTCTGCATTAATTTTGTTGTTTACTCAAAGTCATTCAGAAGCAAGTTGTTTAATTTCCATGTAATTGTGTGGTTTTGAGAGATCTTCTTTATACTGATTTCTATTTTTATTCCACTGTGGTCTAAGATTATGGTTGGTATAATTTTGATTTTTTTGAATTTATTCAGACTTGCTTTATGGTCAAGCATGTGGTCAGTCTCGGAGTATGTTCCACATGTAAATGAGAGGAATGTATATTCTGTGGTTGATGGGTGGGTTATTCTGCAGGTATCTATTAGGTCCAATTGGTCAGGTGTTGAATTTAAGTCCAGAAATTCTTTGTTAGTTTCCTGCCTTGATGATCTAATACTGTAAGTGGGGTGAAGTCCCCCATTATTATTGTGTGGCTGTCTAAGTCTTTTTGCAGGTCTAGACATATTTGTTTTATCAATCTGAGTGCTCTAATTTCAGGTGTTTATATATTTAGGAGAGTTAAGTCTTCTTGTTTGATCAAACTCTTTATTATTGTGTAATGCCCTTCTTTGTCCTTTTTTACTGTTGTTGGTTTACAGTCTGTTTTATCTGATATAAGAATAATGGCCCCTACTTTTGTTGTGTGTTGCATTTGCATGATAGATCTTTCTTTCACCCTTTACTTTAAGCCTATGTGTGCCATTACCTGTGAGATGGGTCCCTTGAAGACAGCAGATGGATGGATCTTGTTTTTTTAATCCAACTTGCAACTCTGTGCCTTTTAAGTGGGGCCTTTAGGCCATTTGCTTTCAAGGTTAATATTTATATATGAAATTTTGATTCTCCCATAAAGTCGTTAGCCGTTGCTTTGTATTTTCTATTGTCTGGTTGCTTCACTGGGTCTGCGGACTGTGTTCATAAATGTGTTTCTGTGGTAGGAGTTATGGTTTTTTTGTTTCCATGTTTAAAATTCCCTTAAGGATTTCTTGTAAGCTTGGTCTAGTGGTAACAGTTTCCCTTATCACTTGCTTGTCTGTAAAAGATTTCTTATTTCACTTATGAAGTTTAGTTTGGCATGATATGATATTCTTGGTTGCAATTTATTTTCTTTAAGAATGCTGAGAATAGACCCCAAATCTCTCCTGGTTTGTAAGGTATCTGCTGAGAAGTCTGCTGTTAGCCTGATGGGGCTCCATTTGTACATGATCTGACCATTTTCTCTAGCTGCCTTTGAGTCCTTTTTCTTTAGCATTAAACTTGGGCAGTTTGGTGACTATATGCCTTGGTGATGTTCATTTGTTTATAGTATCATACAGGTGGTCTCTGTATTTCTTGCATCTGGCCATCTACTTCTCTAACAAGATTATGAAAATTTCCTTGAATTATTCCCTCAAATATATTTTTCAGGTTCTTTTATTTGTCTTTCTCAGGAATGCAAATAATTCATAGGTTTGGTTGCCTTACATAATCCCATATTTCTTGAAGACTTTGTCCATTTAAAAACTTCTTTACTTTTTATTTTTGTGTGACTGGGTTAGTTTGAAAGACTGGTATTCAAACTCTGAAATTCTTTCTTTGGCTTGGTCCAGTTTATTGATAAAGATTCAATTGTAGTTTTAAATTTCTTAAGTGAGATTTGCAACCCAGAAACTCTGATTGGTTTCTTTTTTAGGATGTTCATCCCTTCCTTCATTTCCTGGATTGCTTTACAAATTTCTTTGTGTGGATTTTCAACCTTGTCTTAGATCTTGTTAAGCTTCCTTTCAATTTTTGTTTTTAATTATTTTTCTGTCATTTCTGTCATTTCCATTTTGGTTAGAGACCTTTGCCAGAGAGCTAATGTGATCCTTTGGTGGTGTCACTACATTCAGATTTTTCATGGTGCCAAAATTCTTGCACTGTTTGGTTCTTTCTTATCGCAGATTTTGGCACTTCTACTTTTTGTGATTATTTTTTGTGCAGGTAGGATTTTTTTTTCTTTTCTCTTCATTTCCCCCTAATATATTTTTTTCTTCTTTCCCTTTCCCTTTAGCCCCCTCCCCAGAAGGTGTGACTGTATAGAATTTTAAGTAAGGTCTTTTGGTTTTGCTTCTATAACCCTATGCCCTCCTGTCAGCTGATACTATAATTATATCTCTTACACTTGCTAGCTAAACCTAATTATCAGGTGAAACTGCTCAAGACATACTTGGTTGCCCTGAGATACAGTTGATATAGAAAAAAGTGAGTAAATGCTTAATTCTTTTCTGTGTTAACCACTTTTCAAAATAATGAATAGCATCTTCCAAAGGTGAACAAAGAGTTTTCTTTTCTATTGTATTTTAAAAGAATCTTAAGAGCCCATGGATTTAATGATGTTTGATTTATTTTAATTCATTTTCCAGTAGAGGATGCTTCAAGGTGCCTTCTGAGTCCTTTTGATTAAACCCCAGCAGTCTCTGTTAGATTATTTTGCTTTCGGGTTGACAAAATGTTCCAGACTCATCTCATACATTTTTCCCCCAGCACTGGAATTAGTCACTCAAGGAGCTGCTGGCTCCCTTTTATAGAAAATGATATATACAGACTCTAATCTGAGCACTAGTGAAGTAAGGCAACTAGGCTAATTTGTTGTTTCTAGGCCTTTTCAAAGGAAGAGCTAGTAGATGCATATGTAATACTTAATGAGTCGATGCAGAATCTTTGAATTCCAAATGTGGAACTAATTGAATGGGAATTGTATATGACTTCATTGATATTATACCTGAAAATCCATGTCCTTGATGACACCAGTATAATTGCTAATTTGCTTTATTCTAAATATAATATACATATAACAGTTTCAAAAAAAACACTACTGGAACTACCACCAACATGTTCACACACACACAAAATTTGAGATTATTTTTTCAGTTATTTTTGTGTTTTGTGTCTGTCAAACAAGAGATGTATGGTCAAATTTTGTATTTAGTTACTTATTTCCTCACATTGATTATGCTAGCAAATCAATAGTCAATTAGAATACCTAAGTATTACAACTTTTCCTTCATAGTTTAAGACACTGCTATGACAGACATGTCTATTCTAATTTTAACATAATCTTTTAAGGTATTTTGATTATTTTAAGGTCAAATGCACAAACAAGTTGTAGTAGCCAGCTTCCAAATATTTTTAGTTTTTATGTTATTTTTATGCCTTCAAAAATCTTTCCCTCCTGCTGTTCATGTCCTTGTACAATTCCCTCTTGCCTTGAATCAGGTTAAACTGTATAACCAATAATATAATGAGGAAGTGATGGTGTGCGATTTGTAAGGATAGGTCATAAAAGACATTGAGAATTCAGTGTTGGTCTTCTGTACCACTCACTCTCAGGAAGCCTCCATGTTTAAAGTATTTCTCAATATTTTGTTGAAAGGGTTATTGTCTCCAAATACCACATAATAAATATACTTCCACATCCATGTCTTCCTAAACCATCAGATCCCTTCTTCTACATTTTACTAAAATACTAGCATATTAACCTTACTGAATATAGGCCACTTTCTAGTCCACATTTTAGTTAAAAATAAAAACTACTAGAGCTGCTACTAGCTGAAGAAGTCATCACATTAAATTTAGTCTTTGTTAAGTGCATCCATATCAATCATTTGGCATAATCAAAAATTATATTTTGTTCTTGATGGTTTAACACTCTTAGAATTCATTCTCACATATATTTCCCAAGGTTTCTGATGATATAGATGAACAAAACATTACAATTATTTTGAAATATAAACTTTTTCTTGGTTCACATTTGTTTCCTACAAACCTGCTGAGATCTGACACAAAATATAGGTCTGGAGCCAGTAAAGGGTAGTTTGGGTAGGTCTTGAGGTACTTAATGTTTCCCTACCATACTGCTGCCTCAGGTACATTTATTATATGGTCTTCAAGCAAAGGAGAGCTAGTTTCCTTGGAGAAAGGAGGGGAAGCCTTTCCTGGTAAAGACGACTTAGAAAACCCAGGAGTCTCTGGATGCTCAGCATTGTTTAAGTTCACCCATGTGTTTCCATTTCAAACCACAGGGTTCCAGCCTTCTCAAACAAAGCTCTTTCAGTTGGTAAATCTGTAAATTCAACTTACATTGCACTTCTTCAACCCGTACAATTAAATGGTAGTCTCACCTTCAGCAGGGTTGGCTCTGTGGGTGTAAGGAATAAGCGATTCCTTTAGATTTGTCATAGAATAGAAACTCTTTGTTTCTTTTACTATGACTTAAATGAAGAGTTTAAAGTCTCAAACTTGCCACCTTCTTTTTGTAAAACTCTCTAAGGCAAGAAGCAGCAGCCATTCTTCCCCATAGGTCTTATCATTCCCACTACTTTGCAATTGTAAAGGGCAACCACCATTTGATCTGCCAAGATATTTACTCCAATAGCCACATTGTCAGAAACAACAACAGCTTACAGTTTAATTGATATGATGCCACTGGATGTTGTGAATTACTCAGATTCTATTTCACAACTGCCATAAATCTAGCCTGCATTCAAAAACAGCACCAATCAACCAAAGAGCCTTCTCAGGGTCTCTACAGGAACACAACAACCAAACTAGATATTGTAATACAGGGAACTTAATACATAAATTGATTAAACAAGTGCTGAGTGTCTGATTGAATAAACAGAGAACACTATGGTAATATGGTGATTATAGCTGTGGACACAGCTATTACATTTAGGCCTGGAGAAGTGCAGGGAAGAAGTTGGGTTTATTAAAACATCCAAAGCTTAGATGAAGACCTCATGTAGATTAACTCAGAATATCTGATCAGGAGGCCTTTTCAACTGCCAAGAATTACAGTGAAGGGGAGAATAGCGCAGTTCTGGAGTGCTCAAGGCAGATAGAGACTGCAACAAACCACTGCTGCTATGGGCATTATTGTATGAACAGTGTGAAAACAGGAAAGGAAGAAATCATTCTCCTTTTCTCTGCCTTTAAGTTCTGCTCGAGTATCTCCTACTATTGACAGAACCTAACAGGATGCCAATTAGCAAATAGTTTGCAGAGTACCAGCTCCCGAGCACAGAGCAGAGTATAGAAGGATGAATTTGAAACTGAGTGTTAATATGCGCTTGGCTGGCACAACCACTGGTTGTGCTAAGAGAACCACTATTCTCTTAGTAGAGGAGGTATGGCTTAGGATATGTTTGCTAGCTTCATACCTTTAGGGATTCACCCTCTTTTATAAACACTAGATATTTAATAATATGCCTTGTGCACTCTGAGATCTGTGTTGTCTGCCCCCTCCCTACTTTCAAAAGAAAAGGAATTTCTTTTTTCTTTGCCCCAGTGCCCCCTTTCTTCTCAATTTAGCTGCTTTTCATTGATTTCTTTTTGGCATGAACTGAGTGCTGGAAACCAGCTAAGTAGATTGACTTCTAGAGTTTACAGGGCCCAGACTGCCATGTACTGACTACACTTTTCAATGTCTCCTTCGTTCACCTGTGAATTGGCACCTGCTTTGGCCTCTTCCAGTCTCTGTTGCTGTTCCCAATTGGCCCACTGAACTTTGCATGCAGATGGGAGAATTTCCTATTTGGGAATGAGTACTTGTTGATGATTCATTTCATGGAGTCTCTAACTCTCTGCACCATTGGAAATCTCTTTGCTTCTCTTTATGTCCTCCCACATGGTTGCTGCTACGTCATGTGTCTTTCAGGAGTTGCACTTTGGCCTGTCCCTGCATTTTTGCATTTGAGACATATTCTGTCATGTAGAAGTGGAAGTACTGGGCCATATAGTAATTTTTTTTTTTTGAGACAGGGTTTCACTTTGTCACTCAAGCTGAAATGCAATGGTGCAATCATAGCTCGCTGTAACCTTAAACTCCTGGGCTCAAGTGACCCTCACACCCCAGCTTCCCTACTAGCTAGCACCACAGGCATGGATCACCATGCCTGGCTAATTTGGTTTTTTCAATTTTTTCTTTTTTTTTTTTTTTGTAGAGAGAGGGTCTCACTGTGTTGCCCAGGCTGGTCTCAAACTCCTGGCCTTAAACAATCCCCCTGTCTCCGCCTTCCAAAGTGCTGGAATTACAGACTTGAGCCACTGCACTTGGCCCATGTTTAACATTTTAAGAGATTGCCAACTGTTTCTAAAGAAACCACACAATTTCATATACAATTCCAGCAGTGGGTCAGGGCTTCAGTTTCTCCACATCTTTGCCAATACTTGTTATTGCTTGTCTCTTTGAGGATAGACATAATGATGTATGAAACAATATTTCATGTGGTTTTTATTTGAACTTTCCTAAAGACTAATGATGTTGAACTTTTATTTATGTGTTACTGATCATTTATATGTCTTATATTGAGAAAAATCCATTCAATTCCTTTACTAATTGTTCAAATAAATTGCCTTTTTATTTCTGAGATACAAGATTTTAAAATATGTATTTTGAATACAGATCTCTTATCAGATGATTTTCAAATATCCCCTGCTACTCTGTGGGTGGTATTTTTGCTCTCCTGATGGTACCCTTTAAAGCACAAAAGTTTTTAATTTTGATGAAGTCCAATTTATTTATTTTTTTGTTCTATCACCTATGCTTTCAGTGTCATACCTACAGTTTAGCTTAATCCAAAGTAACCCAGACTTACTCTTGTGTTTTTTCCTAAGTTTTAGGTCTTACATTTAGGTGCATGATACATTTCTGAGTTAAAAATGTATTTGTATACATGTAAGGAAGACTTCCAGCTTAATTTTTGTGATACTCAATGTTTCCAGTATTACTTGCTAAAAAAATTTCTCCATTAAATTGTCGTCACACCCTTATCAAAAATCAATTTACCGGGAGGTCAAGCCAAGATGGCCGAATAGGAACAGCTCTGGTCTACAGCTCCCAGCATGAGTGATGCAGAAGATGGGTGATTTCTGCATTTCCATCTGAGGTACTGGGTTCATCTCACTAGGGAGTGCCAGACAGTGGGTGCAGGACAGTGGGTGCAGCGCACTGTGCGTGAGCCAAAGCAGGGCGAGGCACTGCCTCACTCAGGAAGCACAAGGGGACAGGGAGTTCCCTTTCCTAGTCAAAGAAAGGGGTGACAGACAGCACCTGTAAAATCGGGTCACTCCCACCCCAATAATGCGCTTTTCCGACGGGCTTAAAAAACGGCACACCAGGAGATTATATCCCGCACATGGTTCAGAGGGTCCTATGCCCACAGAATCTCGCTGATTGCTAGCACAGCAGTCTGAGATCAAACTGCAAGGCGGCAGCCAGGCTGGGGGAGGGGTGCCCACCATTGCCCAGGCTTGCTTAGGTAAACAAAGCAGCTGGGAAGTTCGAACTGGGTGGAGCCCACCACAGCTCAAGAAGGCCTGCCTGCCTCTGCAGGCTCCACCTCTGGGGGCAGGGCACAGACAAACAAAAAGACAGCAGTAACCTCTGCAGATTTAAATATCCCTGTCTGACAGCTTTGAAGAGAACAGTGGTTCTCCCAGCACGCAGCTGGAGATCTGAGAACGGGCAGACTAGACTGCCTCCTCAAGTGGGTCCCTGACCCCTGACCCCTGACCCCTGAACAGCCTAACTGGGAGGCACCCCCCAGTAGGGGCAGACTGACACCTCACACGGCCAGATACTCCTCTAAGACAAAACTTCCAGAGGAACGGTCATACAGCAGCACTCGCGGTTCACGAAAATCCACT
Organism: Homo sapiens; assembly: GCF_000001405.40. Classification (NCBI taxonomy): domain Eukaryota; kingdom Metazoa; phylum Chordata; class Mammalia; order Primates; family Hominidae; genus Homo; species Homo sapiens. Next base: position 95,664,559 of record NC_000004.12, read on the forward strand.
GTTCTGCGCCACCGCTGCTGGTACCCAGGCAAACAGGGTCTGGAGTGGACCTCTAGCAAACTCCAACAGACCTGCAGCTGAGGGTCCTGTCTGATAGAAGGAAAACTAACAAACAGAAAGGACATCCACACCAAAAACCCATCTGTACATCACCAACATCAAAGACCAAGAGTAGATAAAACCACAAAGATGGGGAAAAAACAGGGCAGAAAAACTGGAAACTCTAAAAAGCAGAGTGCCTCTGCTCCTCCAAAGGAACGCAGCTCCTCACCAGCAACGGAACAAAGCTGGATGGAGAATGACTTTGACAAGCTGAGAGAGGAAGGCTTCAGACGATCAAACTACTCTGAGCTACAGGAGGAAATTCAAACCAAAGGCAAAGAAGTTGAAAACTTTGAAAAAAATTTAGATGAATGTATAACTAGAATAACCAATACAGAGAAGTGCTTAAAGGAGCTGATGGAGCTGAAAGCCAAGGCTCGAGAACTACGTGAAGAATGCAGAAGCCTCAGGAGCTGAGGCAATCAACTGGAAGAAAGGGTATCAGTGATGGAAGATGAAATGAATGAAATGAAGCGAGAGGGGAAGTTTAGAGAAAAAAGAATAAAAAGAAACAAACAAAGCCTCCAAGAAATATGGGACTATGTGAAAAGACCAAATCTACGTTTGATTGGCGTACCTGAAAGTGACGGGGAGAATGGAACCAAGTTGGAAAACACTCTGCAGGATATTATACAGGGGAACTTCCCCAATCTAGCAATGCAGGCCAACATTCAGATTCAGGAAATACAGAGAACGCCACAAAGATACTACTCGAGAACAGCAACTCCAAGACACATAATTGTCAGATTCACCAAAGTTGAAATGAAGGAAAAAATGTTAAGGGCAGCCAGAGAGAAAGGTTGGGTTACCCACAAAGGGAAGCCCATCAGACTAACAGTGGATCTCTTAGCAGAAACTACAAGCCAGAAGAGAGTGGGGGCCAATATTCAACATTCTTAAAGAAAAGAATTTTCAACCCAGAATTTTATATCCAGCCAAACTAAGCTTCATAAGTGAAGGAGAAATAAAATACTTTACAGACAAGCAAATGCTGAGAGATTTTGTCACCACCAGGCTTGCCCTAGAAGAGCTCCTGAAGGAAGCATTAAACATGGAAAGGAACAACCAGTACCAACCACTGCAAAATCATGCCAAATTGTAAAGACCATCGAGGCTAGGAAGAAACTGCATCAACTAACAAGCAAAATAACCAGCTAACATCATAATGACAGGATCAAATTCACACATAACAATAAATTAACCTTAAATGTAAATGGACTAAATGCTCCAATTAAAAGACACAGACTGGTAAATTGGATAAAGAGTCAAGACCCATCAGTGTGCTGTAGTCAGGAAACCCATCTCATGTGCAGAGACACACATAGGCTCAAAATAAAAGGATGGAGGAAGATCTACCAAGCAAATGGAAAACAAAAAAAGGCAGGGGTTGCAATCCTAGTCTCTGATAAAACAGACTTTAAACCAACAAAGATCAAAAGAGACAAAGAAGGCCATTACATAATGGTAAAGGGATCAATTCAACAAGAAGAGCTAACTATCCTAAATAGATATGCACCCAATACAGGAGCACCCAGATTCATAAAGCAAGTCCTTAGAGACCTACAAAGAGACTTAGACTCCCACACAATAATAATGGGAGACTTTCACACCCCACTGTCAACATTAGACAGATCAACGAGACAGAAAGTTAACAAGGATACCCAGGAATTGAACTCAGCTCTGCACCAAGCAGACCTAATTGACATCAACAGAGCTCTCCACCCCTAATCAACAGAATATACATTTTTTTCAGCACCACACCACACCTGTTCCAAAACTGACCACATACTTGGAAGTAAAGCTCTCCTCAGCAAATGTAAAAGATCAGAAATTATAACAAACTGTCTCTCAGAACAGAGTGCAATCAAACTAGAACTCAGGATTAAGAAACTCACTCAAAACACTCAGCTACGTGGAAACTGAACAACCTGCTCCTGAATGTCTACTGGGTACATAACAAAATGAAGGCAGAAATAAAGATGTTCTTTGAAACCAATGAGAACAGAGACACAACATACCAGAATCTCTGGGACACATTCAAAGCAGTGTGTAGAGGGAAATTTATAGCACTAAATGCCCACAAGAGAAAGCAGGAAAGATCCAAAATTGACACCCTGACATCACAATTAAAAGAACTAGTAAAGCAAGAGCAAACACATTCAAAAGCTAGCAGAAGGCAAGAAATAACTAAGATCAGAGCAGAACTGAAGGAAATAGAGACACAAAAAACCCTTCAAAAAATTAATGAATACAGGAGCTGGTTTTTTGAAAGGATCAACAAAATTGATAGACTGCTAGCTAGACTAATAAAGAAGAAAAGAGAGAAGAATCAAATAGACGCAATAAAAAATGATAAAGGGGATATCACCAATGATCCCACAGAAATACAAACTACCATCAGAGAATACTACAAACACCTCTACACAAATAAACTAGAAAATCTAGAAGAAATGGATAAATTCCTCGACACATACACCCTCCCAAGACTAAACCAGGAAGAAGTTGAATCTCTGAATAGACCAATAACAGGCTCTGAAATTGTGGCAATAATCAATAGCTTAGCAACCAAAAAAAGTCCAGGACCAGATGGATTCACAGCCGAATTCTACCAGAGGTACAAGGAGGAACTGGTACCACTCCTTCTGAAACTCTTTCAATCAATAGAAAAAGAGTGAATCCTCCCTAACACATTTTATGAGGCCAGCATCATTCTGATACCAAAGCCGGGCAGAGACACAACAAAAAAAGAGAATTTTAGACCAATATCTTTGATAAACATTGATGCAAAAATCCTCAATAAAATACTGGTAAACCGAATCCAGCAGTACATCAAAAAGCTTATGCACCATGATCAAGTGGGCTTCATCCCTGGGATGCAAGGCTGGTTCAATATATGCAAATCAATAAATGTAATCCAGCATATAAACAGAACCAAAGACAAAAACCACGATTATCTCAATAGATGCAGAAAAGGCCTTTGACAAAATTCAACAACCTTCATGCTAAAAACTCTCAATAAATTAGGTATTGATGGGACGTATCTCAAAATAATAAGAGCTATCTATGACAAACCCACAGCCAATATCATACTGAATGGGCAAAAACTGGAAGCATTCCCTTTGAAAACTGGCACAAGACAGGGATGCCCTCTCTTACCACTCCTATTCAACATAGTGTTGGGAATTCTGGCCAGGGCAATTAGGCAGGAGAAGGAAATAAAGGGTATTCAATCAGGAAAAGAGGAAGTCAAATTGTCCCTGTTTGCAGACGACATGATTGCATATCTAGAAAACCCCATTGTCTCAGCCCAAAATCTCCTTAAGCTGATAAGCAATTTCAGCAAAGTCTCAGGATACAAAATCAATGTGCAAAAATCACAAGCATTCCTATACACCAATAACAGACAAACAGAGAGCCAAATCATGAGTGAACTCCCATTCACAATTGCTTCAAAGAGAATAAAATACTTAGGAATCCAACTTAGAAGGGATGTGAAGGACCTCTTCAAGGAGAACTACAAACCACTGCTCAAGGAAATAAAAGAGGATACAAACAAATGGAAGAACATTCCATGCTCATGGGTAGGAAGAATCAATATCATGAAAATGGCCATACTGCCCAAGGTAATCTATAGATTCAATGCCATCCTCATCAAGCTACCAATGACTTTCTTCACAGAATTGGAAAAAAATACTTTCAAGTTCATATGGAACCAAAAAAGAGCCCACATCGCCAAGTCAATCCTAAGCCAAAAGAACAAAGCCAGAGGCATCACGCTACCTGACTTCAAACTATACTACAAGGCTACAGTAACCAAAACAGCATGGTACTGGTACCAAAACACAGATATAGATCAATGGAACAGAACAGAGCCCTCAGAAATAACACCGTGTATCTGCAACTATCTGATCTTTGACAAACCTGAGAAAAACAAGCAATGGAGAAAGGATTCCCTATTTAATAAATGGTGCTGGGAAAACTGGCTAGCCATATGTAGAAAGCTGAAAGTGGATCCCTTCCTTATACCTTATACAAAAATTCATTTAAGATAGATTAAAGACTTAAACGTTAGACCTAAAACCGTAAAAACCCTAGGAGAAAACCTAGGCATTACCATTCAGGACATAGGCATGGGCAAGGACTTCATGTCTAAAACACCAAAAGCAATGGCAACAAAAGACAAAATTGACAAATGGGATCTAATTAAACTAAAGAGCTTCTGCACAGCAAAAGAAACTACCATCAGAGTGAACAGGCAACCTACAGAATGGGAGAAAATTTTGGCAACCTACTCATCTGACAAAGGGCTAATATCCAGAATCTACAATGAACTCAAACAAATTTACAAGAAAAAAACAAACGACCCCATCAAAAAGTGGGCGAATGACATGAACAGACACTTCTCAAAAGAAGACATTTATGCAGCCAAAAAACACATGAAAAAATGCTCACCATCACTGGCCATCAGAGAAATGCAAATCAAAACCACAGTGAGATACCATCTCACACCAGTTAGAATAGCAATCATTAAAAAGTCAGGAAACAACAGGTGCTGGAGAGGATGTGGAGAAATAGGAACACTTTTACACTGTTGGTGGAACTGTAAACTAGTTCAACCACTGTAGAAGTCAGTGTGGCGATTCCTCAGGGATCTAGAACTAGAAATACCATTTGACCCAGCCATCCCATTACTGGGTATATACCCAAAGGACTATAAATCATGCTGCTATAAAGACACATGCACACATATGTTTATTGTGGCACTATTCACAATTGCAAAGACTTGGAACAACCCAAATGTCCAACAATGATAGACTGGATTAAGAAAATGTGGCACATATACACCATGGAATACTATGCAGCCATAAAAAAGGATAAGTTCATGTCCTTTGTAGGGACATGGATGAAATTGGAAATCATCATTCTCAGTAAACTATCGCAAGAACAAAAACCATACACCGCATATTCTCACTCATAGGTGGGAATTGAACAATGAGAACACATGGACACAGGAAGGGGAACAACACACTCTGGGGACTGTTGTGGGGTGGGGGGAGGGCGGAGGGATAGCATTAGGAGATATACCTAATGCTAAATGATGAGTTAATGGGTGCAGCACACCAGCATGGCACATGTATACATATGTAACTAACCTGCACATTGTGCACATGTACCCTAAAACGAAAAGTATAATAATAATAATAATAAAAAAATCAATTTACCGTCAGGGCAAGGGTTTATTTTTGGACTCTCAATTTTGCTATATTGACGTATGTCTGTCTACATGATCTATATGTTTATCTGTCTTGATTGCTGTGGCTTTGTAGAAAGATTTGAAGTTGGAATGTGTGAGTCCTTCAACTTGGTTATATTTTTTAAAGACTATTTTGGCTTTTACGCATTTTCATCAATTTTAGGGTCAGCTTATCAACTTTTGTTAAAAGGTAAGCTGGTAATTTGATATATGTATAGATCTAGTTGGGAAGTATCACCATCTTAACAATATTAAATCCTCTAATCTGTCAACATGCAATTTCTTATTCTTTTTTTAAATTTCTTTCAACCACGTTTGTAGTTCTGAATGTACAAGTCTTGCATTTATTTTGTAAAACTTATTCTTAAGTATTTATTCAATTTGATGCTTTTGTGAATGGAATTGTTTCTTAATTTCATTTTTATATATTTACATTGCTTTTGGTATATTGATATTGCATCCTCTTGCAATATTGCTGAAGTCACTTATTTGTTCTAATGGTTTCTTTTAAAAAAGTAGATTCCTTAGGATTTTCTATGTACAAGACCATATCATCTACAAATAGAGATAATTTAACTTCTTCCTTTCTAATCTGTTATCTTTTAACTTTTACCTGCCTAATTTCCCTAGCTAGAACCTTCAGTACAACAATTGAATAGAAGTAGTGAGAGTAGACATCTTTTTCCTAATCTTACAGGGAAAGTATTTAGTCATTCGCCATTAAGTATGATGTTCCCTTGTGGTTTTCATAGATCGCTTTACCACATCGAGAAAATTTCCTTTTAATTCTAGTTTGTTGAGTGTTTTATCATGAAAGGGTGTGAGATTTTGTCAAATATGTATCTTTTGTTTATAGAGGTGATTATGTGTTTTTGCCCTGTTTTCTATTAATATATTAAGTTAGTTGATTTTTTAATGTTAAAACAACCTTGCATTTCTGAGATAAATCCCAGTTGGTCATGGTGTATAACATGTTTTATTGTTTCTGGATTTGGTTTCCTATTTTTTTTGAGTATTTTTCTGTATTTATTCATAAAGGATACTGATCTGTAATTGTTTGTTTTCTTGTGGTATCTGATTTTTCTATCATGAAAATACTGACCTCATAGAATGAGTAGGAAAGGTTCTACTCTCATCTATTTTTGGAAGAGTTTGTGAAGTATTGGTCACAATTTTTATTTAAATGATTGATAAAATTAGCCAGTGAAGCTATCTATCTGGGCCTGGGATTTTCTTTGCAGTAAAAAATATTTTATTATTAATTCATTCTCTTTACTTATATAGGTCTATTCATATATTCTGTTTCTTTTTGAGTCACTTTGGTAGTTTGTATCTTTCTAGTAATGTATCCATTTTGTGTTTTTGTCTAATTGTTGGCATATAATTGTTTATAGTATTCCTTGTAATTCTTTTTAGTTCTGTAATGTCAATTGTAATGTACACTTTTTCATTCCTAATTTTCTTAATATGAATTTTCTTTATTTTCCTTATTAGTCTACTTAAAGTCTGTCAATTTTATTGATCTTCTTGATAAGCAAACTTTGGTTTTACTGTTTTCTCTGTTATTTTTATATTTTATTAATTTCCACTTCAATTTTTATTATTTTGCTAGTGGGCTTTTTTGGTTTTTGTTTGTTTGTTTATTCTATGTCTTGTTATCTTGGTTGCTTTGTTTTTAATGGGAGGGTTTGGGAAGATTAAAAAATTATTCTGAAGCCACAGCCATCTAGCCTGGTGCCAACATAAGACACTTTAAAACTACAAGGAAAAAGATGTTTCTTTATACAGATGCTTCTTGACTATGATGGTGTCATATCTGACAATCCTAAGTCACAAATATTATAAACCGATAATGTATTTATTACCCTGAAAAGCCCAGCAAAAAGAAAAAAAACTTAAACCATTGTAAGTCAGGGGCTCTGTATATTTTCTGAAAACGCTGTCAGTAATACATACTTCCTCGTGAAATTTCTTGAGTAAAGAAATGTGATGGTGCTAATCCATTATTTAAAATTTACAATTTTGCTGTTACTAAAAAAAATTGAACGTCAGTTTGCACAGTTAGAATTATTTAATTTTCAAACATTGTAGACCTGAGTTGATCAATAATTGAACCGAACTCTGTACATTTGTACAATAATTTGTATTATTACATGACTGCTATCCCTTTAATTAGATGTTGGGCTCTTGGAAACTTAATATTTTAGAATACCACATAAAGAAAGTACTCTGAAAATGTATCAGTTTTACAAAAATAACAATAAACTTTTAAACTTAAAAAATATGGGATAAGTGCTCTGTATACATTATCTCACAGAATTCTCACTACTCTAAAAATTGAGTATTATCATCTTTATATTAAAGACACTGAGGCTTGGAAAAGTGAAGATCTTGTCCTTAGCTGTGTAGGTAGTAACTAGCAGAGCAAAGATTCAAACAAGATCTAAAGGACATGCTTTTTCCACATTGCCCTGCAGTCTCAATTCAGGATTAGACATGAAGTATTTTCAAGTGCATTTATTATCCCACAGGAAAAGCCCACATACTTCCATATTTAATGGGAGTAAATTGAGAAATATTTGAGGTGAACTGACTGGACTCATTGTGTCTCTGTAGAGAAAACAAGACATCTATGCAGTTGAAAAAAAAGTAGGGGAGAGGGATGAGTAAAACAGTTTAAGAAATAGAGAACTGACCTTGCATCCAGAGGTATCTCTGTAGGTTTAAATATTAGGTATGTCTATACCTCTTTCTAATTACTAGGATGTGATTCTTTGGGCAAGAGTTGCCAAATTATTCCATTTCAAAATGGCTATATGGCCTTCCAAAGAACAAGTCGCTGATGTTGACCTGCATAGCCTTAGAACAGGCATTAAGTTCCCATGGACAATCATGATGGAAACATAAAGAACCTAGTGATGAGTGACTTCCCCATTGTTGATATGATTGATTATAAAAGATCGTAAGTGATGTAGGGAGTGATCACTAGATGGAATAGCCTCAAGGGGAGAAGTCCTTTGTCCAAGAAGATGAGTCTAGGAAAAGGGTGAAAAACTGAAAACATGAATTATGGTTTGGATTAGGGAGTGATAAATGAGATCCTTCTGTTGATATTCAGTGAAACCCAGAGGCTATTTGGGACAATTAGGAAATGTAACTACATCAGAAGATCAACAGCTGCATGGTAAAAAGGGTCTTAAAAATACTTTAATTGACATGACCTTTCTTTATCTCCTTAGCAGTAACACATGCACTGAAATTCCTTAAACTCCTCAGGTCATCTGCACATCACAATTGAGTTCTTTCAACTTTCCACCACCCATTCTTTTGGATTACATATTGGCCATCTCTGAAGAAAAGAAAATTACTAATATTCCAAATATAAGCTCTGTGAAACTGTGAAAGGTTAATTCACTCCTTTGTTTGTTGTAGTGTAAATGTAGCAGAATTTTATTAAGTACCAAAATTGGAAAAAAACAAAAAAAAAAAAACAGAGAGAGGAAAAAAAGTCTAACAAACCACGAGCTTCACTTAATGCAAAGATGTTCCATTTATAGGGTAATGACTAATTTTGATGTCTGCCTGTAAAATGTGTTGAATGTGCAAACTACTGTTTTGTCCTTCCCTTCTCCACTCTCCCTGGCACAAAACTACTGGGCATGTTTCTCAAACCTTGGACCATAGGGTTTTGTTTCTGGTCTATTGCTTCTGCCTTCCTCTGATACAGGGGATTTGGCTGGCTGTCACGTTTAGTAGACTCTGAGGACCCTCCAGCCAAACTCTAGACACAAGGCAGCTCTCTTTGCTTCGCCTTGAGTTTCAAACTAAAATTGTTGGAATAACCTTGTATTACTTATTCAGGACACTCTGTTGACTTCTGACAGTGAGAAAAATTGTCAGAAGAGATCTTAGCTCTAAACTGCTACTACTATCATCCACTTTCCTTCAGTATTCTCTTCACTTTTCTTCCTGCAGCCCAACCCCTTCAATCACACACATCACCCACCTGAAATTTCATGCTGAATTTTTTGTTTGCTGCAGCTTTTCATCAAAGCATTAGGGCCTTAAAAAACAAATAAACAAGTATTTTCCTTTTCATTTTAATTCTTATATGGTGCTGAATGGGGTGTCTTTAGCTTTTTATCTGGGATAGGTCATTAAAATAAAATGAAGAATTAACTGGTTAGAATTGGTTGTGGATGTAAGGGGGGGCGCGGAGAACAGCATGCCAATCACTGAGCCACGCATTTTATGCAAGCTTAAAGAAGACATTTAGCTTTGTGCACTAGTTGCATCATCTATTAGAATAAGCAAGAAGACAGGGAACCAAATCAGAACCTCTGGACCTTATTGGACTATCTATTGAGTTCTAGTCTTCATGGATGATGGAAAGGTAGATTATGGGAGAAGATGATGAATAAATGCAGTAATAGTTTGTGACTTTGTTATAGAAGCCCAAGTTGAGGCTTATGTACCTGATGTGCAGTTGACACCAAATACCGACACACAGGTGGTTGGAGATGTGAAAGGTTCATTGGATTTGGCCAAAGTGAGAGGGCAGGAGGGCAAGAACTCTCAAATCCATCTTAACAACAATAACAACAAAAATCAGCAGGGAGTTTTTATGCAGCTAGAGAATAAGAGAGGGGGAGTTGCCAGGAACCAAGGGAAAAATCTGTGTTTCTTCAGTCTCAGATAACATCTTGAACAACCAGACTTCTGGGCGTCAGCAGTTTGATTGCAATGTCCTTAAAGGCATAAAGACATTCATTCCTTCTGCAAAATTTTCTTGTGACCCTGAAGCTATCTCCTCCTGCTTGACAAAGAAATAGTGCATCAGCAGTTTGTAATTTTTTAGTTTGTGGGAACAAGGGATGTTGGCTTTTGTGCAGGCAAGCAAAGGCCTAGTCAGAATTTTCATGATTTCAGTGACAAAAAATGCTGGGGTGCTGAAATCTCAAGGGACCTACTTAAACCCTCAAAAACTTAAAATTAACTGTGAGATTGACATGTTCTGAAGAGTCTCATTGTATTATCAGAGTTCTCCAGAGAAACAGAACCGACAGGATATAAAGAGATACATATAAGAGGATATTTGTTATGGAAATTGGCTCATGTGATTGTGGAGGCCAAGAGGTCCCAAGATATTCTGCAAGCTGGAGAAACAGGAAAACTTACAGCGCATTTAAGTTCAAGCCTAAAGGCCTGCAAACCAGGAACTCAAGTGCAGGAGAAGATGGATGGCCCAGCTCAAAAAGAGGGAGAGAAGTTTCCCTTCCACTGACTTTTTGCTTTATTGGGTCTCTCACTGGTTGGATTATGCCCACTGAGGGAGGATCTTCTTTACTTGGTTTACTTAATCAAAGGCTAATGTCTTCCAGAAACATCCTTGCAGACACACCCAGAAATAATGTTTTACCAGCTATCGCTTAGCCCAGTCAAGTTGACATATAAAACTGGGCATTACACTTGTAATTCAGTCATCAAGATAAAAATTTAGTAGAATAAAATTCAAGTTTTCAAAGCATACAATTTTCATTCTTACCATTATGCACACTCATAATGAGGAGGACATTAAAGAAGAGATTAATTTTTTAGTTGTTCTTTTCCTTATAAGCTTTAAGAGTAGACATGATTTCTGGCAGTATGTGTAAGTGTGACTTCACACTAATGTTTCATTTTCCTGTCCTTTAGTTACACTGATGTTAAAATGAGTATGGTAATATCACACTAAAATCAGTGAGAACATGAATAAGTTAATACCTGCCAAGTTCTTGTAGCTCCTTAGAGAAAGGTATTGTCATCTGATTCAAGCTCCCTTGTAAATGACTAATGATGTAAAGATCAAGAATTTACTAGACTTCCCTTAAATTATATTATAAAAGCTTTAAGTACATTGGCATCTTGTGTTCCCAGTATACATAAGACTCTGAACTCTACTCATGCTCAAACCTAAAACAAAGCATTTATTATACAACATTGGCAGGAGTTTCAGGATGAATAAGAATGTGAATATACAATAAAATTCTTCACATTTTAATATGTTACATGACTAAAAGAATAAAGGCACTTGGTAAAAACAAAAAGGAGATACTACTATTAATCTTTTCACCATAACTTGCCATTATGTCTCTACAGGCCCCTTTTAAAAGTTTTTCCCATTCAAAATTTTAAAACCCAACACAATTGGAGGAAAATAGTAACCATGATTTTCTCAAGAGAGTTGTTTTCCTTTAAATTTTAGCTCGAACCATTTCCTTCCATCACTGATCTGTTCAGTATCTATTGGAAGTGATGAATCCTCTGACTATATGAGAGCAAAATGTCAGTCAAGGATCTTTATTGAAAACAACAGAAATCAACTCTAGCTAACACAAGTGGAAATGTAATTGACTAAGGAATTCTAAGTAGCTCACAGAATCTTTGGGTGGATGGGGGAACGAGGCTCTGAACAATGCCCAAAATATACCACATAATGAGGTCATTCTTGCCCACTCAGGGATTGCATCACCAACACAGGATGCTCTGGCAGTAATCTTGACTTTTGCTGTTTTGGAAACTAGACTCAATTTTTTACCTCCACTATGAAATATTCTGTTTGCTGTTTATGTTCAGAATCAAAGTCTGTCTTGATTGCTTATGACTTCAATAGGTCTTTATTAGCAAACAGGTGCCTTCCAATTGCCCTTTCTTAATGTGACCTTGTATCATTAGTATCTGATCCATGGCATTACTGAGAGCATGAAGATTTTTTTAAACCTCATAGTATTTAATCTCAGAATCATCTATGACTTTGACATGGTTATTGGTCCATTAATGTAAGAGCAAGATTGTAATTCAGAATACAAAACTGATTTAAGTCTATTATTCTTTGCCTTCTAACAATGTGTTTGCAAAGGCAGCTAATTGTATCTTCTGATCTGAGTTCCCAAGCTCTTGATAATGCCGAGAGCTCAAGACTTATTCCCCACATAGTTTAATTACCTTAGTTCCTGAGATTCCATCAGATTTTGAGCTACCATTAGTTTACTCAACTACATTTCTTTTGATCTGGCTGGGATGCTCTATTTTATAGGCTTATCATATAGAAATATATGCAATGCACAAATAAACTCAGGGATATGCTCTGAATACAAGACCCTACAATAAGGATGGAGCAATTGTTTTAGAGACATGTGAGGTGTACCCCAGTAGGCAATTCTCTGGGCAGTGTGGTTGTTACCACACCTTCCTTGTAAAATCTACTTATCTGAGAGCAATAAAAGTTGACTAAGTTATTATTGCAGTTACATGCAAGCAAAACCTTTCGTATCATCCCTATTTCTATTCCACATTGCTAAATATTTTGAGATATATGCAAGCAGATCTTTCCTACCTTTGAGAAAGTCCTGTGCCTCTTGTCTTAAGAGTTATCACTGTACAAAGATTAAAGAGTTTCAAGCATTTGGGAAAGCTAAAGCTGGTGCTCCCAGTACTGCATTATTTTATCATGGCCCTTGTACTTATTGTTCCTGCCTATTCCTCCCCAAGATATTCTGTGGGGTGACCCCACTTCTTGAAGGATTGGCTCAAGTGTCACTGTATCAGAGAGGCCTTCCCTGATTTTTCTTTGTAAAGTAACACATCTCTCCCTGACCCCCAACCATCCTCCATGGCATATCATATACTCCTTGACCACAGGATTTACCACCATCAAATATTAAACTTTCTTGTTTATTTTGTTTCCTCAATGATAGTGTAAGCTCTGTGGAGAAAGAAACTATGATATGGTCACTGCTGTATCCCTATTTGGAGACTAGGACTGTCCAATAGAAGTCTGCAATGATCATAATGTTCTATGTATGTGCTTTCCAATAAGGCAGCATTAGCTACATGTGCCAATTGAGCACTTGAAATGCAGTTAGTAATACTGAGAAACTGGATTTTTAATTTAATTTTAATAACCACACTTGGCTGATGGCTACCATATTGGACAACACAGGTCATGGCTACCATATTGAACAACACAACAGAAATTGACATCTAAAAAGTACATGATAAATATTTGTTGGTTCAATAAGTGAGTGATGTTTTCTATTGCAGCTGGTTCTTCTCTCTCCATACTCATTATGTTGCAGATATATATGCGTAAGTGGAGCTGCTTCATTTTTCGCACAAACTCATGGCAGAACCTTGCATAACCAGAAATGGCTGTATACCTATGCAGTGACCTGATTAACTTTTCCCTGTTCTTATCTTCTGCTTTTTCATCCATAGAAGAAACCTGTATTCTCATGCATGACACTGTATTTTGACTCAATTGTGCCTTTTCTTTAACTTCATCTCTCCTTCTTTAATATCATAGGACATGTCATATTAGTTTCTGATTTCCCCTGCTCTGTATATGCTAGAAAGAGGTCATCATGTCATTAAAGTGATGTAGTCTATTGTATGTTTATATCCAAATGAATGTCTTCCTATAACAATGAAAGATTTCTGGATTCTCATTACCTAAATCCAACCAACCCAGAAGTTGAACACACACAGTGTTCCATTCATGGGTTCATAACTTTTAAGCACTAGCATCAGAAGCTGTGGTGGAAGGTCATATTTTTTGTGACAGCTGCTTGAAAATTTTTATTGGTAATATTACTGGTAAACCATAGACTTCAAACTAGTGAAACAAATGAAACCACTTTATTAATAGAGAGAGAAGTAGGGAGTTTGCCCTTCACATTCTTAAACACTTAGAGTACTTCTGTGTTTTACTGAGTTCCTCATTCGTCAATGAATGATAGCTGTATAGAAAAACAAAGCCAAGTACGTGCACACACACACATACACACACACACATACACACACACACAGAGCGATAGACACAATCACTTATAACAAGATCTTGGGTCTTAATTTGATATACTTGGCATTGGATCTGTACCGTTAAACGTGTCGATTTAGAGGTTTGTTAATCTCTCTCCTAAGACTGGCCAACAGATTACTCTATGACTGGTAATATGGGAGAAGGGTGTTCCTAAGGTGTCTATAATCTTCTCCATAGCTGTACAAACTTTTGAAATCTTTGTCACTGTCTGCCACATTTGCAGAAAATGTTCTCAGACAACTTGGTGAATGGACATCTAATATGCAAGTATCCTACTAACAGATTTTTTAGATTTGAGTATGCAGTCTCTAGAGCCCTGCTGTAGGGACTTCTGTCCTAAACTCTGGCCAAAAAAACCTCTTGGTTCTTGGTTAGCCAGTTAGTTCCACTGTCTCAAGCCACTATGCAAAGTCTCAAGGTCAGCTCTTGAGGTCTCAAGGGGATGAGCATCATAAACAAGGCAAGTGTATGGTCAGAGTCAGGTAGACTCAGCCCATCATCTCAAGCACCTAAGCAGCAAAACAGGGGTGAAGAAGTATACACCTTTTCTACTCATTGATTTAGCAACTATCTTGTAAAGTCCTACTATACAATAAATCACAGGGAGTAACACAAGCAAATAACCTGTGGATTTCAGAAAGTCTCTGAGTAGCCTAAAGGGCATTGTGCCTGAGTCAAAGGGATTTTGTAAGAGGTTTCTCTGGAGATATTTGGCACTGTTGGCAAAAGATGTAGGTCTGCTTTGGGAAAATTAGATAAGGAAGAGTCACTCATACAGTTTTAAGAACATGAAATTGGAAATCCCAAGACATAGGTTATGAAAAAGCCCATACAAGGATGATATAAAAATAGTATCCAAAGTGGAATTAAACAGTGATTTAACTGATAAAGAAAAATTGGAAACAGGCACATGTGTGTGTTTATGTGTGTGTGTGTGTGTGTGTATGTGTGTGTGTGTGTGTGTTTTCTTAGTCTAATAGCCAAGGAATGAGATGAAATAGATTAATTTCTTTCTGGGAAGGAAAATAGCATGTATGAGTTGCAACACTCTACTAGTCTGCTTGGGCTGCCATAGCAAAACAACAGAAATTTATTTCTCACAGTTCTGGAGGCTAGAAGTTCCAGACCAAGTGTCAGCAGGGTTCAGTTTTGGTGAGGGCTGTCTTCATGGCTTTCAGATGGCCTCCCGCTTGCTGTGTCTTTGCATGGCTGTTCCTCTGAGTGTGCATGAAGAGTGAATGAGTGAGATCTCTGGTGTTTCTTCTTACAAGGACACTAATCCTATGGACAGAGCCCCACCTTTGTGACCTTATTTAACCTTAATTATATCCTTAAAGGCCCTATCTACAAATATGCTCACATTGGACCTCACATGTAAATTTAGCAGGGAGAGACATAATTCAGTCCATAGCAAACATTAAGCATATTTTATGTAATACTGTTGATATTTTATGACAGAGATTTTAGGCTAACCATTTTTAATCCAATTATATGTCATTATGAGGTATATTAGAACAATACTGTTATATACAAGATCAGAATATAGTACATTTTGGTTTAAATTCCAAGCATTTACTGAACATTCATCCTGTACAACAACCACAAGCCAGGCATTCTTTTGTACACACTTTTCATTTAGTGCACACTGTCAACTTGTGGCATTTGGTAATTCGTAATAACTGAAGTGGGATTGAAAATTGTGTTTAGGAACTCTCTCCCACTTCTGGGAACACAATGAGAAGAGGTTAAATAGAATATGACTTCATTTTTATTTTATTTTATTTTTGTCCCAGGGGTTTCTCGTGAACTCTAAACCACAGGAACTTGCCTGTAGTTGGGATGCCATTACATATGTTTGAGATTTACGGAGGACTCCAGTAAAACTCTAGATTTCTGGACAACTAAATTTCTTGGGAGCACTTCAAAGTGCTACTTGACTCAGAATTTTCCAACTATCTTAATTTTACAGAACTGTATATCTAGGTATATGCAGGAAATTCTGTATTATATTTTAATTAACTAGTTAAATAATTCTTACTGTATATGTTTAATGTATACAACATGATGTTTTGATATTCTTTCGTTGATATACGTATGTATAGTCAAGCGATTGCCACTGTCAAGCAAATTAACATACCCATGATCTCACATAACTACTTTTGTTTTTCTTTCCTTTTTTTGTGTGGTAAGAGTACCTAAAAATCTGCTCTCTTGGCCAATTATCGTTACAATCACAATATTATTAACTATACTTCTCATGGTATTTGTTAGATCTCTAGACATTTCTTCTACAAAATTGCAACTTGGTACCTTTTGTCCTGCGTCTTGCTATTTCTCCTGATCCTAGTAGCCTCAGCTTGATTCTGTTTCCATGTATTCAATTTTTTTTTGTAAAGATTCCACGTTTGATTCTTTTTCTGTGTCTGGCTTATTTAACTTAGCATAATGCTTTCTAGGTTTATCCACGTTGCTGCAAACAGCAGACTCTCCTCTTTTAAGAATGAATAAAATTTCATTGTATGCATATACCACAATTTCTTTATCCATTCATCTGTAGACGGACACTGAAAATTTTTTCATATCTTGGCTATTGTGAAAAATGCTGCAATGAACATAGGAGTGAAGCTCTGTTTATGAGGCAGTGATTTCACTTTATTTGGGAATATACTCAAAAGAAAGATTGCTTAGTCATATGATAGTTCTATTTTTAATTTCTTTAGGAACTGTCATATTGTTGTCCACAATAGTTACACTAATCTACATTCCCAACATTACACGAGTGTTCCCTTTTCTCTGCACCCTTGCCAACTGTCTTTGGAGAAATGTCTATTCAGGTTCATTGCTCATTTTTAAATTGGGTTGTTTTGTTTGCCATTGAGTTGTGTGAGTTCCTTCTATATTGTGTATATTAAACTCTTATTAGATAAACGGTTGCAATTATTTTCTCCCAATCCAGATTGCCTTTTCATTTTATTTCCTTTGCTGCACAGAAGCTTTATAGTTTGTTGTAGTCTCACTTGTTTATTTTTGTTTGATTGCCTGTGCTTTTTGCATCCCATCCAAAAAAGTGTTGCCAATACCAGTGTCAAGGAGCTTTTCCCCTGTTTTCTTCTAGAGTTTTATGGTTTCTGGTCTTCCATTTAGTTTTTAATTCATTTTGAGTTGATTTTTGCATATGTTGTAAGACAAGGGTCGAATTTCATTCTTTTGCATGTGAATATCCCATTTTCCCTACACCATTTATTGAAAAAAAAACTATCCTTTCCCCATGGTGTCTCCTTGGTGCTGTTATCAAAAATTAGTTGATTGTATATCCCTGAGTTTATTTCTGAGATCTCTATTCTGGTCCATTAATCTATGTTCTGTTTTAATGCCAGTATCATACTGTTTTGATTGCTACAGCTTTCTAGTAGATTTTGAGATCCAGGTAGTATAGTGCCTCAAACTTTGTGCTTTTTGCTTTAGCTATTCGACATCTTTTGTGTTTCCACATGAATTTTAGTATCGCTTTTTCTATTTCTGTGAAAAATGTCATTGGAATTTTGATAGAAATTGCATTAAGTTTGTATATCATTTTGGGTCATATGCACGTATTAAAAATTTTAATTATTGAAATACATGAACAAAGGATATATTTGTCTTCAATTTATTTCATCAATGTTTCATAATTTTTATGTAAATATCTTTCATCTCTTTATTTAAATTTATTCCCATGTATTTTTATTTAAATTTATTCCTATATATTTTATTTTTGATGCTATTGCAAGTGGGATTGCTTTCTTGATTTCTTTTTCAGAAATGCTACTGATTTGTCTGTGTTGATTTTTTAGCAGGAGAATCTTGAAAGAATATTTGCCCTTAACTTCACTGATAAATCCACCCACTCTAAAGTGGGAGAATCAGTAGGGATTCTTGCTTGCTGGTCTTGTCATCTTCAATACACTGTTCAAGCACAATAGTTGTTGAATATAAGAGGATCCTGTAGAGTAATTTCTCTGAGAACTATAACACCACACCATTGTTTAATTTGGCCAGACTGTAGGTTTAAAGGGCCTTTGACACCGTCTCTTAAAGTATTTTCAAATCGCGAATTTGCATTATAAGGCATAATGCAGTATTTAGAATAAACAAAAAAGCAACTAACAAATAATGCAAACAAAAAATTGCCACATTCATCAGACTGTAAACTACAGCATTGATTACAGTGATCTCGTCAGTCTTAGTGTACATATTTGTCCTCTTCTAAGCTAATATGTGTATATTTTAAATTACAATGAATTTCATACCACCTCCCACCTAGTTTAGAGTATACAATCTAAAGTAAATTTCATTTGTCTGATAATATTTCAAGTATTATATATTATTTACACAAGCCCCACAGGTTGATACATATTTTTTTGTTTGCCTGTGGCTGAGAACACAAGGATTTGTTGAGCTGATTTTATGTATTTCTTTCCTTGAGGTAAAACTTTTCTTTGTTTAGAGCAAAAGGCTCCATAGTACAATTTGTTTTCACCAAGGAATGTATTTGCTTATTTCATAAACATATTTATCATGAATCATTCTCTGAACGAGAGGAGCATTGCCCATGATATATGGTGAGCACAGTTAAATTGGTGAACAGAGACAGACAGACAAAATAAGTTTTCTAAGAGATAATGAGTCTGTAATTCAATAATACTAACTGAACAAGAATTTTCACCAGGCTCTGGAAAAAGTAGACTTATAGTTTTGTAATATAATGAATATCATTAGTGGCATTTATAAGCAGAATTGACTTGTAGTTTTTTTTAATTGGAATGGGTTTAAGGAATAATGAAGTGAGATCATACAGTTTATCCCTACTCTTTTTCTATAAATATTTTATCTTAACATATTTATATTAATATTATATTTGGATTTTCATTCAGAGAGCTAATCTTGCTATTTCATAAAATTAATTTTCCATAAAATAAAAAGGAAGCTTTTAATATAACATGAATCTGCCAACATACCTGATTATCCTAAGTAATAAGGAGAGGCTTTTGGCTCTTTTACTAAAGTACACAATTAATTGGAAGATAATAATGTCAAATAAATACTAGTTTAATATACTACTTTTGAATATATTTTATGTCTTTATTAAGGTGTGTATTAACATTTCTATTTATAATATTGGTTTAACTTATTTTGAAAAAAAACCTTTACAATGTATGAGAAATGACATAGAAAGATATAAAGCACATTTAGCATTGTTGTGTTTTAATAACTGCAAATGTTCTAAATGTGAATAAGAGCATATAATTAAGATTTTTTGAATAAACTCCTAAAATTGAAATGTTTGTGTTGTCTTTATATCATTACCCTAATGCCCATTTTTGGTTGAGGTATTTGACAGCCAGAATAATGGCTCCCCAAGGATGTCCATGGTTTTGGAATTTAAGAATATGTTACATTACATGGCAAATCTGTAGAAATTAAAGTAGCAGATGGATTTAAAGTTGCTAATCTGCTGACTTTAAGAGAGGTAGATTTTCTTGGATTATTCCATTGGGTCCAATATTATCACAATAATTTCTAAATGTGGAGGAAATTAGAAGAAGTGAGTGCTTTGATACGAGAAGTACTTGAACCATACTTGCTGGGTGTGAAGATGGGGGAAGGGGCCACTAGCCAAAGAATGTAGGTGTCCTCTGGAAGCTGGAAACAGCTAGAAAACATGCTTTCTGTAGAGGCTGCAGAAAGGAGCTCAGCTCTGGGATCATTCTCAGTTCCTTAAGGCTGCCCTCTGGTCCTAGCCTTGGCTAGCCTAGGCCTTGGCCTTCTCATAGAATCACAATTTATTTTTTAAAAAGTCATCAAGAGAATTAATCTCTCAAGCTTGCCATGATCATGTCTTATGTAATCTAATCAAGGAAATGGAATATCCCCTCATATCCATAAGCCCTGGCCACACTCAAGAGAAAAACATATACATGGCAAATATAGCAGAGAACAAGAAATTTGGAGGCCATCTTGGAATTCTGTCTACAACACTCCTGGTATTCCCTCTGTGTGTTTGTCTTTGTCTCTCTCCACATATATATACGTACATACACATCCATGCACATATGTATTTGTATTACTTTTTTCAATGTAGACATATCAGCTTCTTATAATATTTGATTTCTTTGTTTTTCCACTAGTTCAGTCATATTTCGCTGTTTTAGCTACCAGATCCCATCTGATACATGAAAACAACATGAAGAAGATAAAGAAAGTTTCTCTATGCATCTTTTCTCTCGTGACATTCAATTGCATACTCACCATCACCCAAACAGCAAAATTATTGACTGACACTTCAAATAATCTCTTCTAATACTTATTTACATTAAAAATATTTTTCTTTATGAGGGTGAAGTAGAAATTAATTCACAGCTCTGTACTCTGGACAAAGAAAAAACTGTAACAAAAAAATCTTCACACTGATCTAACACTTTATATTCTCATGAGTCAAGTGATTAATTAAATTCCAATGCTCCTCTGAAGGAGGTTGGGCATTTCTATAAATTAAAAAATATCGCCGGGCATGGTGGCTCACGTCTGTAATCCCAGCACTTTGGGAAGCCAAGGCAGGCAGATCACGAGGTCAGGAGATCGAGACCATCCTGGCTTACACGGTGAAACCCTGTCTCTACTAAAAATACAAAAAAAAAAAAAGTTAGGTGGGCGTAGTGGCGGGCGCCTGTAGTCCCAGCTACTCGGGAGGCTGAGGCAGAAGAATGGCGTGAACCCAGGAGGCGGAGCTTGCAGTGAGCCAAGATCGTGCCACTGCACTCCAGCCTGGGTGACAGAGCGAGACTCCATCTCAAAAAAAAAAAAAAAATTATAACTAAAGTTTTGAATTAAATCATTCTGATTGTCCAGGAATGCACACCCTTAAATATATGTAATAAAAAATTAAAGATTTCTTATAGAAAAACTTATTGAAAAAGTCCCTGAAAGATAACAAATGATATTATAAACTATGTATTTCTGTAGTAAATTTCCCAAAAATACATAATTTTATGAGCAAAATGGTGTGGAATATATAAAATATTGTATGTATGTGTGTGTATATAAGCTTTTTAAGTGAAGTTAAGAAACATGAATGAGGACCTATGAAGCATTATTTCTGTGCACGTACCAATATCCTGTTATTTCCAGTGCCCAACCCTAAGATCTCTGACTCTACCACATTAACTTCAGACTAAAAACTAACCCTTTTAAACACACCGTAAATGATTTTTTTTTGTTAAATGCAACTTAAAAATTTCAAAATATATAATAGTAAAAATGATGTTTAATATATTGTGTTGAAATGTTAAAGAATAAACTGTAGTTTGAATGCATCTGAATATTTTGTAGGCATGCAACAGCTCTTAGTAAGAAACCATTCCATCTTTCTGAGAGAAAGTTGTATATTAACTGAAGAGAGGCATCTTGTTTTGATCTGGAGGCACAAGAAATCTTAAAGTGTGAATCCCATTAGGTTATAAGATAAAAAAAAATCCTATCAGAGAATAGGAAAATAAAAACCACTAGTAATCTCATTACTGCCTCTTCAAATACTACTGCTATATAGGTGAACAGCTTCCCCTCTAGTCTTTCCTCTTTCTTCCCAAAATAGCCGACGAGTGGATCAAGCATGTCTAGTGGGATATAAGCACAAAGTATGCTTATTCTTGTTTTCTCCTCTTTTTATTTGTTCTGATTATTAATTTTTCCCCTAGTCATAGTTCTTTTTTTGGATGAAATTTAGGGCAAGTGTTCAGGCTTACCTAGTTACTTCAGATGATGACATCTCCTCTAAACAGTAATTAATATTTTCAGTCCATGGTAATATTCAACATTTTAAGCTCATTTAAAATACTAACTATGCCCCCTGATATGGTTTGACTCTGTGTCTACACCCAAATCTCATGTCAAATTGTAATCCCCACTTATTGAAGGTGGGGACTGGTGGGAGGTGATTGGATCATAGTCGGGGGTTCCAGTGGTTTAGCGCCATCCTCCCTAGGGCTGTCTTGTGATAGAGTTCTCACCAGATCCGATGAGATCTGATGGTTTCAAAGTGTGTAGCAGTCTCAGTCTCTCTGTCTGTCTGTCTGTCTCTCTCTCTGTCTCTCAATCCCCTGCTCCACCATGGTAAGATGTGCTTACTTCCCCTTTATGTTTTGACACGATTGTAAGTTTCCTGAGGCCTCCCAGCCATGCTTCTGTACAGCCTGAGGAACTGTGAGTCAATTAAATGTCTTTTCTTCATAAACTACCCAGTCTCAGGTAGTTCTTTATAGCAGCATGAAAACAGACTAATACACCCCCTTTCTCAGCCTGTGCTTGTGGTAAGGCTAGCCAATGCAAGCAGGAAAGAGGGGTGCTGTCTGCTGTTTCTCCAATTGGCATCTGTGCCCCTTCTTCATCTTGTCAGTTATAGTGTCTGACCCCTAAGTGGCATGGGAAAGGAGAGGACAAAAAGAAAGGAGTTAGACATTTGACTAATACTGTTCAGAGTTGAAATGCGCTCTTTGAGCAGGTAGGCATTTAAAGCTAACTTTTCCCTCATGGGATACACTTGTGGGTTCTTTGGAGACTGATCTGCGTGACCCCAATGGCTCAACGAGAATCTTCTCCTACAATTCCCTTGACTAGGTAATGCCCTCACTCTCCTGCTATCTTCTTCTCCCTGGTTCTCAGTGTTTCACTGCCACATAAACTCTCTCTCTCACTGTTGGGGTCCCATTGCCCCTCTGAGTGGAATTCCTGGGCAAAAGATTCAATGCAAGCTCACCAGGCTATCTCACATTGGGCCTACATCTGGTCTCCTGGAAATATGCCCATATCCTTTGTCTGGACAATCCTGAGACAGACCCAGCCCAATGCAGAAGTGCCTATTCTTCTCTCAGCAGCAGATTAACTTGTCTGGGAGTTACTCATCCTCAGACTTCTCAAGCTCATTCCGACACCTGTCCACCTAATGCAGCAACTGCACGTGACACAATAAACACTTAATGCAAGTCACAAATGGGAGTCACATATATAATATTATTAGTAGCCACGCTAGAAAAATGAGACAGAAACAGATAAAGTTAATTTCAATTTCAGTAACATTTCATTTAATCTAATCTGTCAAAAATACTATTGTCTCAATATATAATCAACAAAACTGTTAATGAAATACATTACAGTTTTTTTGTATTAAGTCTTTGAAATGGAGTGTGTATTTTAGACTTAAAGTACATCTCTACTCAGGGTAGCTGCATTTCAAATGTTATATTGCCGCAAATCATAAGTGGCTTGTGTATTGGAAAGTGCAGCTTTAAATCTTTAACAGTCTTTAACTTTAAAGACTTAAAAACTCAAGATGAGAATACTCTATTTATTCCTGTTTTTCCCATTCTAATATTATTTTTTCTCCTCTGATGTTCCAAGTTCCTTCTGTTATAATTTCCCTTCTAGCTGCAGACCTACTAACCATTTATGTAGGTTGGGTTATCTGGCAAGAAATTATCTTAATTTTGTCATCTGAAAATGTCTTTATTTTTCCTTCTTTCTTGAGGTATATAGAAATTTGTTCTGTATTGAAGTTCTTTCCTTTCAGCCCTTAAAGCAAGTTTTGCCACTTCCTTCTGGCTTCCATGGTTTCAGAGGAGATCTGCTGTCATTTGATTCATTGTTGCCTCATAAGCCATATTACTCTAGCAGTTTTCCAGATTTTTTCTTTTGTTTTCAGAAGTTTGAGTATAATGTGTCTTAATATGTATTTCGATGAGTTTATTCTTTCTGGGACTCATTAATCTTATTGAATACATAGAGTTTTTCTTCTTGCCAAGTTTGGTAAATTTTTAGCTATGACTTTATCAAATACTTTTTCAGCCTGACCCTTTTTATCCTCTCCTTCTGGGACCTCCATGACATAAGTTTTAGATCTTCTGTATTGTCTACATGGTCCCAAAGCTCTGTTCATGTTTTGTTTTCAGTCTATTTTCTCTCTTTTGCTCAAATTGGGTAATTTTCTATTGATTAGTCTTCAGATTTATTGATTCTTTCCTCTGTTATCTCTATTCTATTATTGAGTACATCCAGTGAAATGTTTATGTTGGTTTTTGTGTTTTTCCATTTTGTAATTTTCATTCGGTTCTTTTAAAACAATCTTCTTTCATTGAAACTTTCTATTTCAAGAGTGTTTGTAATTGCTCACTGAAGTGTTTTTGGATAGTTGCACTGAAATTCCGTCAGATAATTTTGATAACTGTGTCTGTTTGGCCTTGGTATCTATGAATTGCTAATTCTAGTGTGATTATTCTGGTTGTTGATATTACAATGATTTTCAAATGTATCCTAGAAATTTCTGGTATTATTAGACTCTAGATCCTATTTAAAACTTCTATTTTATTGGGCATTACCTTGTTTAGGATTAGCATACATGCTCTGGCCTACTTTTGTGGTTACAATAATTTTGTTTTCAGAGTCTTTGCAGTGCTATTCTGCTCTTCTTTGTGTGGTACTCAAAGGCTGATCTGAAAACTCGTGTGATTTTCCACACAGCAGTTCAGCTCTCAAATCTTTTGCCATATTAAATCTGGTAGATTTCTCATGTGGGCATCTTAATAATTTGCTAAGGACTTTCTATATAAGTTTGAAGAATGCTTTTTACTAGCTCTATCCTCTGTTCTCTGAAATTCTGCCCAACACTCTATTTGGGAGGGGAAGGAGTTCCTCCTGCCAGTGCAGGGAGATGGTCCAACTTCTCCAGTGGCCCTCCTCTGGCACTAGCAGGATTGGAGTAGTATAACCCCACCTCTTAAAGCTGAGTGGGGTTGCAAGCCCAACCTCCCCACTGCACAGGAGAAGCAGAGGGCTGCTTACTGCCCATCTGATGATGATGGAGGCCCAGGCTCTCCACTTGGACTCTGATGACACCACTGGAGAGGAAGAAGAGGTGATGGTGATGAGGTGGGAAGAACATGTTGTTTTTCCTGTGGTGTTGGTTGAGGTTTTCTATTCTTCTAAGCCACTCTTTTCCTGGTTCTTTGGCTAGACAGAACAGTCTTTTCTTGGACCAATTTTTATCTGTGCCTGTTGGCATTTCTGAATTGCCAGCTTCTCCAGCCCCTAGTCAGGGATATGTGAGAAACAGAAAGACAACCTAGGAATTCACTACTCTGTTATTCCTCAAATCTCAAGATCTGCCTCCTTCTTTCTACCTTTCAAACTCTTCTTATTTTGCTTTATTATGTGGGGGGATTTTTACTTGTACTTAGCAGAAGGACTAAGGTAAAAGGAGGCTATTTCATTATATTCAAAACTGAAACTCCTATTGCTTAAACAAAATTTACCTTTATTGATGTAACTAGTGGCTCTAATAACTCATTTTGAAACAATAGTTAGTGAATATATTAATGTTCACAAATGCTGTATTTCCATTTAATATACGTTTATATTTTTAAAATGTGCAGCACTTGAACAGCTAATCAAATTAAAGAATCCTAGTTGACATAAAAACAATTATCCTTCACAGTCAAACTCTGTTTTATCAATTTGGTAACTGTCATTCCCAGATAAGGAGCGACTTTCACTTAGTTTTCCTTGCCAATAATACTTAAAGTCTTACTACTAAAAATAAGATTCAAAACTTGAAAATAATCCATTAGAATATTTAATCTCTCAAATACTTAAACAATTTGAAAGAAATGACAAGAAGTATTATTTAGGGCTTATTCTTTTAAGAGGATCTAATTATATTTAGCCATGTTCTACTAGAGTTAGTATTACACAGTGACTGAGCTGATTTGTTTATCAGAAGAGTTTATTCCTGATCCTACAAGTGTTTTCACAATAATATTTGCAAAGATGTTTAAGGCCTTTCAATGATATGTTCACAAAGCGCTTAAATATTTCAATGATATTTGTATATCTTGAAAAATTGCACATAGAGTAGTGAAAGGAGTAATATGTTCTCATATATTTAAGACCTAGACAAATAGGTTATTATGCTTACTTTGGAAATATACTTTATACGTGAGCATTCGTCTCCTGGTAATATATATAACTATAGTTTTAAATGTATAGGCATATATTATGATGTTGCTAATAGAGCCATTCTAGGCTCTCATGTAAATATAGGATAAATATCAAAATGTATTTAAGTCATCAAAACTTTTATTATCATATTAGATATTAGAAGAAATATTTTGGTTAAATTTTGCTTGCATACACAATTTACCTGAGAAAAGCATATATATTATGTTTATTCTAGGTCACCTCAGAATTTGAATTTATGAGTTCAGTAAAGCACCTTTTGGTTATATAGCAATATTTATTGGCTACTGATTTTTATTTTTTAATGAGTATATGATGTAATACTTCAAATACATACATTTCAAATTAATATATTAGGTAAAATTAGTAAAAAAAATATTGCAGGTGTGATGCTTTTCAGCATTTTAAATATAGTACAGTTGATGAAATGTGTACTAGAAAAGGTGGTGTAGAATTGTGGTCAGCAATCTATGTTCTTTCCTCAGTTCCATGAGTGACTTTACAAACAAGTCATCAAGTTACCCCTTAGAGTTGTGTAAGAAGAACCTGAGTATGTGACCCCTCTTGTAGAGATAAGAAAAGTGGCCTCAAAAGCATTATGAATGCCTTAGAATTGGGTATTTTAAAATATAAGCAATTATTTTAAGTAACTTGGTGTCCTAAAGAAAAAGGAAATATATATTCTCGCATCTAAAATACTCTTCAATGATCAAGTTGCCATGTGTGGGGGCAGGAGGGTTACAATTCTATAGCCCTAGCAACTATGAGTGGGACATATATAAAACTGAAGCCATAATTAATACAGAAGTTGCAGTACAGAAAGCCTTCTGCTTCAACTTCCACTACATCAGTACATCAAAATGATTCTTAAAGTCATGTTTAAGATAAAAATTATAGCTGTTTATTGTCCAGTGATAACCCAGTTAACGTTTGGAGCCAATCACCGTGGACATTAGTTCATTGGTTTGGGAGTATGTAGTTACTCATATTTAGTAATGACTCTAGTGATATTGGGTGGGATATTTTAGTACCTAGAAGACATAAGACTCCCTATCTTCTCAACAAAGACTTCATTTATAGTTTTGCTTTCATGAATCCCGTGTTTGGAGATATTTTCTCTACTAAATCACCAGATTAATTTGCTTTCATTTATTTATTATACAAATACCATTGGTTGTCTACTGTAAATCAAGGACTATTCAAGGTCCTGAGGACATAGTTCTCCTCTTAGAGCTATAAATATTTTCTCATTTCATAGTAAAAAGACATAAGCAAATTTCTAACTGAGCTTATGATTATTAGATAAAAACTAAGGCTATTATACTGGCTTGATATAACTTCAGGCAAAAGCAAAATATCTTGGTGATTTCCTTTACTTTAGCTGATATATCTTATGTTTCTAAATTTATAAAACAGCCCAAGGACCCTTCATTACTAGCTCCAGACACCTAAGGGTACAGTGAATCCCTTTGGAGAAACTGCCCTACAGTTTGAAAATCTGCTCATTTTAAACACTAAGATAATTTGCTAAAAGTTTATCTTGAAATATTCTCTATTTGGTTAATTATATAGTCATTGTAGTTGGCTGAATGCTTTTAGAAATGAAATGGGTCAAAGGCATTACAACTCTAAAATTGCTCATGTTAATTTCTCTTCCTATTTTTAATTGTATTTTCTCTTCCTATTTTTCATTGTATTCTGGATTTTTAAATATTATTTCTATTCTCAGAATATTTAATAAAATCTAGCATGCATGAGGTTTGTGGGCATAATGTTATGAGATTCTCAAACAAAACTCTGTGTGTGTGTGTGTGTGTGTGTGTGTGTGTGTGTGTGTGTGTATGTGTGTTTTTTGGATATTTGAAAAAACTCTGTCTATTCTGGACATCTCCCAAATTAGTATTGTTTGCTTAAGTCTGAGATTTATGTTACTGTCATGTAAAGTTGGTGATGTAATTTAAAAATTATATATAATTTCAAAAGTAGTAGTCTTCAAGATAATATAGTCTATCTTCTTCTGTCAAATCTTTTTTCAAAATCTTATCTCCTTATTCCTATTTCCTCTACCCTTTTTCTATTCCTTGCAATTACTTTAACAATCTAATTCTGATGAACCAGTTTTTCATGTATCATCTAAATGGTGTGTGGGACTTTGTTGGCTCCCCCTGATGCATGCCCCTTGATAGTCATGCCCATCTGAGTTCCCTCCATATCAACTCTAGGCTTGCTCATGTGGCTAGTTTTGGCCAATGCAACATTAAAATCAGGCACTAAACTGTCTTCTTGAAACATCTTCCTTGGATCCCAGACATACTATAATATGAGGTAGGCCAAATAGCTATATGGAATAATCTACATGGAGAACTGAAGTCCCTGCCTAACAGCCCCAGCATTCATCCACATGAGTGAGGCCATTTGGACCTTTAATTATACCTGGGGGCCTATATGATATCTCATGAAAAAAGGGAGCTTCATGATCAACCCAATCAAACCACAGAATCATGGAATAATAATCAATTTCTAATATTTTACCCACTAAACTTCGAAGTAGTTTGTTACAAATAGATAATCAAAACATGGTTTTTCCCCCCACAGCTAGATTTTAGTCCCTCAGAGCATCTCCCTCATGGCTACCCAGTCCACAGCTATATTTCAAATCCAATGTGTGCATTAGAAAAAACAAAAATGAAACAGAAATGGTTTATCTCCTAAAAGAGCTTATAATCTAGTAGGCAAGCTATTACATATGTAACTAAATTTTAGGTTGAAAGTGATAAGTTTCTTGAGAGTTTCAGAGGTAACATTCTATGATGGTTGAGTAGAAGGATGGGTGAAACATCTTATAGGTTGCCGTGCATGGAGGCCATGAAAATATACCACTCAGATTCCCTGCTCATGGGAAAGTAGTTAACTGCAAGTTCCAACAGGTGGCTCTCTGGGTCTACTGCTGTCTTTGAGCTTAGGCCACCCTTTCTATAGGATCAAATGAGCTAATCACTGAGCATGTGTCTTAGTCCATGCGAGTTGCTATAACAAAATACCAGGGACTTGGTGTTTACTAACAACAGACATTTATGTCTCATAGTTCTAGAGGCTGGTAGTTTCACAATGAAGGTGCCAGCATATTTGGTGTCTGGTGAGGGCCCACTTTCTGGTTCATAGACTATGCATGTTAGCTTTGCCTTCACATGTCAAGGGGATGAGGAATTTTTCTCCAGCCTCTTTTATAAGTTCATTAATCCCAATCATGAGGGTGGACTACCTAATCACCTCGCAATGTTCCTACCCCCACCTTGAAGATTAGGATTTTAACATATGAATTTGGTGGAGAGGACACAAATATTCAGTCATAGGAGTGGTGATTCTAATTCTGGCTCATTCCTTTGAGATGTGGAGCTTCTCTAATAGGAGACTCGGAATTGAAGATTTCACACTGGTCTGGCTGAAACTTTCACAAAAATCTGCTGAAGGATAATACACTTCCTCCATGATTGTCCTTCCTTTTACTTTTTCCTCACGTTTCAGACTTGTAGGTCCTTGCCTTCTTCTCCCTCCTCTTTAGATTTTACAGGCCTTTTCTGAAAAAAATAATCTCTTACATATCTAATCCGATATTGACATTTGTTTCTTGGGAGAGCAGAACACACCAGGTGTATTGAGTCTTGAAGGACAAGATTTGAACACCGGAAGAGAAATGGAATTCAAGGAGACAGAAGCCATTTGAAAAGGGAATTGAAAGAGGAAAAGCTTGATGACTAATATGTGAAATAATATTTCACAGGAGCATAATGAATAGGAGGAAGGATCAAATGAATCAGAAGAAAAAGTAACATGTGATCTTAAAGTCAAGACAAAAGAGTTTGGACATTGGAATAGATAAACAGGGAAGCGTGGAAGAATTTTGCATGAAGGAATAACATAATCTGAGTTGTGCTTTAGGAAAAGTCATCTGCTACTAGGGTCTCCTAACTCTTCTAGCCAAGTAGGAAGTCAAGTAAAAGACTGATCTTATAAACCAATGGGGAAATTGACACAAGCTTGGCATGAGGAATAATGATGACAATGATAACTCCCTTACATGTATACAATGCTGTGGGCTTTACAAAAAGCTTTTCACACAAATTTAATTGTATTGTCATAAATTTAGGGAGTTAATTATTTTTATCTCTACTTTATAGATGAAGAAACAGAAGTTCAGAGACCCAGATAATGTCATTTAACTTCAGTGCAGTTTGTAGCTAACAAAGCTAGGATGTGATATCATATCTTCTGATTCCAAATCCAGGGCTCTTTATAATTACATCAAATTTTAAATCCGAAAGACACTGAGGTGAAGCATCAGTCAACTAATGGAGAAATTAGAACTTGTGAGAGTAGTTAGTGTTGGAGAAGTATCTTTTGGACCAATATCTAAAGAGAAGTTGGAGGAAGCCCTGAGTTGATGTATTAATGAAGAGAGTTTAGGGAGAGAAGAGCATTCTGAAAAGTATAATGACTACTTTAGCTCAATGCTTAAGCAACAAGAGAAGGATCTGCAACTAGAGAAAAGAACAACAAATGTTCATTCAACAAATATTTATTGAACACCTACTACTTACCAGCCTAGGGATAAAGAGTTCAAAAAATAACAGACAAGGCCAGGCATAGTGGCTCATGCCTGCAATCCCAGACCAAGACAGGATAATTGCTTGAGCCCAGGAATTCAAGACCAACTTGGGCAACACAGTGAGACCCCCATCTCTACAAACATAAAAAAACATTAGCCAGCCATGGTGGTGTACACCTGTGGTCCTAACTGCTCAGGAGGCTGAGGCAGGAGAACTGCTTGAGCCCAGGAGGTTGAGGCTGCAGTGAACTATGATCATGCCAATCCACTCTAGCCTGGGCAACAGTGCGAGGCTTCGTCTCTAAAAAATTTTTCAAAAATGACAAAAATGTCTTCCAATGAAAATCTTATATTCTGGAGATGTCAAACAGGCTTAAAGATTTTTAACATTCACACATGAGCAAATGAAAGAGCTGGTTTGAATGTGCTTCTGACCTGACATTTACATTTGGTCTCAGGAAGTGAGATATGTCTTCACATCACTATAAAATGAAGTTGCATCTCTTATTTTTGCTGTTAGGCCAAATTCAATTTCCAGACATAAAAACCACTGTTGTGTTCTTGATTGGAAAATGTGAAAGCAATTTACCTTTGGTGAGTTAATGTACAGCCCCTGGTCTCTATATTCTTATAAATGTTTATAACTTTTTAGAGTTTACAAAGCACCATATCTATCTCTTAGGATATGTAAATTTTGTCTAGGTGTATTTTTGAAAAGTTGAAGACCTAGTTATCCTAAGGCAGATTTTTTTTATTAATATTACTAGAGGAGAATGGAGGTGGCTGCTGCATTTCAGAGGGCTGTTTCTTGTACCTGTGTTTCTATGTTTTTACTGCTTTCCATCTTACCAGACATTGTTAGACACAGCCAATGATCAACAACAGCATTTAAATCATCTTCATAATTGACTTCATTTATAAGAAATGATTTACGTAGATTTAGAAGATTATCCAAACTACTATCTTAAGTTTTTTTTTAAAGCAAATACAGTTTTTGTTGCATTCTCTAAGTTCCCATGAATAAACTTAAGAAAGTATATCCTTTAAAATTACTGGATTTAAAAATATTGACGTTTATGCTTTCAGATATAAAAAGATGCACACTTCTGTAATACAGAAACATACAATCACACATGTACACACATGTGCCATGCATACAGTCTTATTCCACAATAAAGCTGAGTTTGCACTCAGCATTTACTATAAGTTAAAATAAATCTCTCTCACACACACATACAACCTATGTACCAATCTGAAATTATGGCCTCAAATAGTAAAATGCCATAAAAACCTTAATTGCAGGGGCATTAATGGGAACCTCTATAATACTGGGAAACTGCCCACTGAATAATGCCTCTCCAGAGAGACTTGCTGACTACACACACACCTGGCTCCGTAAATGAAAGCAGAGCCCGTGCCTCATTTCATCCCTTCAGCCTTGAAACTGCTTAGAGTCCTCACTCTGCTCATTTTGATATATCTCTCATGAGTGACAAGTATATCCACGAGATAATAAAATGTGTTAAGATAGTCAGCTTGGCAGTGTTTTTGCTGATGTATTAATTCATTTCTTTTCACGTGCTATATCACCACAATGTCTCACCAGATTTTATGAGAGGGTTCACTGAAGTGAAAATCAAGCCAATGAATCGTTTAATATGAACTAATGAAAACCAGATATAAAAGGCTTTAGTAACTGTTTTGGAGCTTTAATTGTCAAATGGGTGTAAATTCTGAGCACTTCTAAGTAAGAGAAAGGACTGTAATTATGAAATTGGGATTACTCTGTGATAATTGGTTTGATTAAATAGTCATGTAAACAATGATGTCCTGAATGAAAACACTGAACTAGGAAGGAGGAAATGGTTTCTCCAAGGTAGGAGATGCACTTTAGACAAAAGGGTACCATTATGTATATTTTCTTTGCCATGGTTTGAGAGAAATCATTGGTAGCATGTTATAACCATTTATACAAAGCTCACTTTGTTCAAAGACATTCATAAAGACATTTACAATATTTTGAAAAAACAAAATACGTCAAAACTCCTGTTGTTTGTTAATGATATTGATGCAATAAATTGATGGATTTGCTACACAATTAACTGTTACAGTGCACAAAGAGGATCTAAAAAGAAGACAGCTATAAATACTGCACATAGGTTATTCTCAGATATGGAAAGTATTTTTATTGTGTTAAAATAGGCAGTGTCTATAATAACTGATTCAGGAAAAGATGACCAATAGGTGTTAAAACCATGGGGTAAAAAATTTTTAGGGAATAGGATATTGATAAGATGCCAGTGTATTATCCAACAGATTATTTGCTAAATAGAAAGAAAAAAATTACAACTTTAAGTCAGAGCCTTAAATAAATGATCAAATTTAGCATCATCACTGATAATGCTTCTTGGTATGGTGCAGTAAAAAGTATGTAATATCCCTTATGTAATATGTTTGTGCCAAAATATTTAAACTGAATTTAATCTTGGAAAATAAGCAGACAAATCCAGAATGTAGATAAATTCTATAAGACAACTGGCCTGAACAAAACACAATGCCATTTAAAACAAAACAAAAAAACCCTCAAAATATAAATGGAGGAAAGCACCATCCTAATTCCAAAAAATGTAAAGAGACAGAACACCAAAGGTAAGGATTAATTCCTGGATAGGAAAAAAGAAAGATACTTCTTTTGAGGACAATTGAAATGCATAGTGTATTTTGGATATTATTGCATTAATATGGACTTTCTTAGTATAATAATGTAGGTGATTGTCTTATTCTTAGGATATGTATGCTGCAGTAGGGCATAAATACAACATCTGCAACTTCCTGTCAAATAGTTAATCACAAAAAAACAGAAGAAGAGGTAAGTGTGGCAAAATGTTTAGTTTGATGAAGACTATATGTGTACTTACCTTTCAATTTTTCTGTAGTTTAAATATTTTCAAAACAAAAAAATTAGAGAAAATCAGCATTATATATGTGGTGTTTTAAAGTCAGATAAATATATTTCTGGTTTGTTGAACAGATACACACTTTTACATCCCCTCATAACTAGCGTTATTAAACTGTGGTTTATGAACACTTATACACAGATAAATGTGATAAACAAAGTGACAACTATTTTCCGAGAACTCATATCCCAAGTTTCTCATGAAATAAAAGACTCAAAGATGTCAATTGCTTTTTGCTCCATCTTACTTCTAGGAACTAAATTTAGCCTTCTTATTATAGATGAAGAAATTTCAAAGGGATTAGTCAATGCAACTCTGTAATTTAGACCAATTTTATCTTGGCACATTTTAGACAATGCTGAAATAAAATGTTCATTCTTAAAAAGACATTCATATGCATTTTTGTTACATAAGCTTTTAAACAGCCTTGGAAAATGAAGAATTCAGTCATTTAGTAATTTTGTTCATATTATTTATTTGACTCACTCTATCCAATAATTTGATTTCCTTGATTGTTGCAAATAGCTACATTTAGATGTTTGCCAAAAATTATGCAGGAAAATGGTATGAAAAATGATACGAGAGCATATCTTCCTCTTTTTGTTTTTTGGTGACAGGTCTTTCCAACGTAATTGCAGAGTACATTTTTAACTTCTTGTGCTTACATTCCCAACATGGAAATAGTTAATACTCATGAACATAGAATTAAAAATACTTCAATATACTGTTTTTCAAAATAGTGAATTGCCTAAATGTGGAAGTGGCTGTTAATATGAGTTTCATTACATGACCTTTATGCTTTGTTGACCTAGCTCATTATCATACGTGATCTGAGAGTATCCCAGAAATGCAAGGATGGTGTAATGTCAAGATATAGATTAATATGACATGTTGTGGTCTGAATGTTTGTGTTCCCCAAAATTTGTATGTTAAAATTCTACCCCCCAAGGTGGTGGTATTAGAATAGGAGGTGGGGACTTTAGGACATGATTAGATCATGACCACAGAGCCATCATGATTATGATTAGTTTCCTTATAACACAGACCCCAGAAAGCTATTGCCTTTTTCTGCCATGTGAGGACATAACAAAATATGCCTTCTATAAACCAGGAAGTGGGCACTCACCAGACACTGAATCTGCCAGTGCCTTGATCTTGGACTCTGCAGCCTCCAGAACTGTGAGAAATCAATTTCTGTTATTTGTTTAAAAGCCACTGGCTTATGTTGCTTGTTAGAGCAGCCTAAATGGGGTAACACATTACAAATTCCATCAATAGATCAAATATATTAAAACTATTCTTTTCAAGAGATGAGGAAAAGGCATTCAATAACATTTCAACCATTTCTATTTAAAAATCCCAATTATTCTATTAAAAATAAACCCAGAAATAGGATTCTATGCTAATATCATAAATAGTATTTGCTTTAAGTAAACAGCTAACATTATGTTTAGCAGTACAACTTTAAAGACATTCCCAATAAAATTAGAAACATATAATGATGACAATAACACCATTATATGTTAACCTATTTTTTGGATAAGTTTTGTAATATGCAGTTAAACTTGAGGTAGGAATGGAAACTATAATTTTGGAAATGACAAAAAATATCACTATTTATAGACTATATTAATATATACTTATAAAAGTGTCCTAATTAAAGAAAATACACACAAAAGAAAAATTTAGTAAGTATTTTTTTTGAGATAGGGTCTTGCTTTGTTGTCCAGGCTGGATTACAGTGGCATGGTGATGGCTCACTGTAGCCTCCACTTCCTGGGCTCAAGCTATCCTCCCACGTCAGCTCACTAAGTAGCTGGGACTACAATGTAAGCTACCACATCTGCTAATTTTTAATTTTCTTTTAGAGATGGGGTTTCATTATGTTTCCCAGGCTGGTCTCAAACTCCTGGCCTTATGTGATTCTCCCACCTCTGCCTCTCAAAGTGCTGGTATTACAAGCATAAGCCACCACTGTGAACTAAATTTAACAGGAAATATGTAAGATATGTGTAAGGAAAGTTATAAAACCTTTTTGATTAATGAATAAAGATTAGAAAAAACAAAATTTCCAATAACAGAGAGATAGTTAATATGGTATATCCACTCAATGGAATATATCAAAGCTAAAATGTCAGTCTATATAAAAATAAATATCACCTTTATAACTGATAAAACTTAGTTTGGCTTTATATGACAGCCAGAAAGGCTAGACTAGAAACTTCTTTCTCTTATGTGGAAGACTGAATCTGAAGGGCAGATGTACGAATTCAGATCACTATTTCTCAACAATCTGGATTGAGAGGTGTTATGGACTGAATGTTTATGTCCCTTGCAATTCATATATTGAATTCCTAACCTTCAGTATGGCTACATTTGGACATTGAGCCTCTAAGGAAAAAATTAATGTTAAATGATGCCCTAAGGGTGGGGCCCTGATCTGATAGGATTAGTGTCCTTCTAAGAAGTGACTCCAGAGTGCTCTTCCATTGCTTGCACACAAATAAGAAGTCACATGAACACATGGTGAGATAGCAGGTGCCTAAAGGCCAGGAGGAAATGTCTCAGAATGAAATTAACCTCACTAACACCTTGCTTTTGGATTTCCAGTCTCCAGAACTATAAGAAATATATGTTTTGCGTTTAATTCATCTAGTCTGTGGTATTTGTTGTGGCAGCCTGAGCCGACTAAGACATGAGGGAAGAAGAAAAGGACCAAAACCTGCCCTCTGGATCTTCATTGATTACCTTTACCCACTTGAGAATGTGGGTAATGGCAGTCACCCAACAGCCATGCTCTTAGCAAAGGCCGATTCTTGAGCTTGTGTACTGAATGCCATCTTCTCATCTACTTTAGGATGTCTCTTCAGCATCATCAATGCACCCATTTCTAATAGATTTTACTACCAGCACACATTCAGAATCTGATCACCCCTCACCAAATCCTCTGCTAATATTCTGGTTCCCTCACAATCATCTCTCACCTGGGCATTTTGCTATTACTTCCCAACTGGGTTCCTTTCATTACTCCTTGGACTATTCAATCTAATACCAACATAGTGATTCTGTTAGAAACTAAGTCAGATTGTGTTGTTCATCTGTGAATATGACTTTTTATCTATATGATGGTAAAAACTAAAGTTCTTACCATAGCCTAAAAGGCAGGCCATCTGGGCCCTTGTTAGTTCCTGACCCAGTGACCTACCACTCTCCTCCTTTCTTATTCTGCTTCAGTCATTCTAGCCTACATTGTTTTTTGCACATACCAGGAATACGTTTGCTTGAGGACTTTTGCATTTCCTATTTTCTCTGCCCGGAACATTCTTTCCCAACATATCCCCATGACTCATCCTCTCATGTTTGTTGGGGCTATTATTTAAAAGTTGGTTTTTTTCATGAGAGCTCTCCTGGCAGCTGCTATGGGTTGAACTCTGCCCAAAAAAAGATACGTTGAAGTCGTAATCCTCAACAGCTCAGAATGTAATCTTATTTGGGAATAGGATAACTGCAGGTATAATTAGTTAAGATGAGGTTGTACTGCATTAGGGTGGGTCCCTATGTCAATATGACTGGCCCTTGTAAGAAACTGACCATGTGAATACAGACACACAGAGACAGCACCTTGCATGGGACAATGAAGGTGAAATTATGCTACTGCAAGCCAAGGAATATGAAAGATTGCCAGCAAACCACCAGAAGCTAGGATGAGGTAAGGAAGAATTTTCTTAGAGTTTTTAGAGGAAACATGATCCTGCTGACACCTTGATTTCAGATTCTGGCCTCCAGAACTGTCGGACAATAAATTTCTGTTTTAAAACATGCAATTTGTGGCACTTTGTTATGGCAGCCCTAGGAAACTGATCTAAAAGCCCTATCTGAAACAGCAATTCCTGGGATTCACATCCCCCTAACCTGCTTTATTTGTCTCCTTAGAACTTGACATCATCCATCCTACCATATTTTACTTACCTATTTTGTATATTTCATCTTGCTACCCTAAACCCACCTCAAATGCCAGCAATGTGAGATTAAGATGTTTTTCTGTTTTCATTACTTCCTCCTCAGCTTTGAAACAGTTCTTGACTTGTTACAGGTCCTTAAAGTATACTTGTTGACTGAAAGAAGGAAGACATGAATGAATGAGGGCGCAAGCCTGGTAATTGGTTCCATCTCCATGGGGAAGAGTAAGGGGTGTTTCAAAATGACATGAGTGTTTTGGAAAATTGCTCCACTTACTGTATAAAATGCTGTAAGTGGAAAGAAGTGTTCCCTTTTATAAAATACTATGCAGAAATTAAGTGTAATTTTTTTGAAGAGTTTAAATGATATGAGAAATTCTTACGGTTTTATGAAAAAGGTGGTTTATGAAATAGTTTCTATAATAAAACCAAAACTACATAAAACAGGTATTTTTGAATAAAGAATACATAAAAGGAAACACTCCAAAATTTCAATAATAGTATTTTTACTTGATGGCACTATTTGTGATAATTTTGTCTTTATTGTATATATTTTGAAGCTGAAAGAGTTTATTCTGGGATAAGAAAGAGATATTTTTTGAAATATAGTAGACTTAACAGACTTTTATCTCAAGAAGGTTTTGTTCAATTTTTAAAATTAATTTGAGAAGGATTTGGATTTAATGTAATAAAAATGCCCCTTTGCAAATGTGTTTTGCCTTATAGTTTATTTCTCACTATATTTGTGCACTTTACTTATTTTTATATTTAAGGTATATGCTGTGATGTTTTGCTATATATTATTAAGAAATGATTATCAAAATCAAGCTAATTAACATATTCATCACCTTATAAAGTTACCTTTGATGAGAATATGTATAATCTACTGCCTTAGTAAACTTCAAGTATATAATATTATTAACTATAGTCACCATGCTGTATGTTAGTCCCCTTTGATGAACATCACTCCCATTCCCCCAACCCCTCAACATCTGTTAACCACCTTTCTATTCTTGGTTTCTCTGAGTTCAACTTTATGAATTCTACCCATAAGTGAGATCACATGGTATTTGTCACTCTATGGCTGACTTATTTTGCTTAGCATAATGTC
Organism: Homo sapiens; assembly: GCF_000001405.40. Classification (NCBI taxonomy): domain Eukaryota; kingdom Metazoa; phylum Chordata; class Mammalia; order Primates; family Hominidae; genus Homo; species Homo sapiens. The sequence continues at coordinate 95,703,447 of NC_000004.12, forward strand.
CTCAGGTTTATCCATGTTGTCACAAATGGCAGGATTTCTTTCATTTTTAAGGCTTATATTGCATTGCATTTATGTATCTCATCTTTGTCCATTCACCTACTGATGGATACTTAAGTTGCTTCCATATCTTAGCTATGATGAATGATGCCACAATGAACATGTGAGTGCAGGTGTCTCTTCAAGATTGTGATTTCATTTCCTTTGGATTTATATCCTGTAGTGGGATTTCTGGATCATATGGTAGTTGTATTTTTAAGTTTTTGAGGAATCTCTATATAGTTTTCCATAATGGCTGTACTAATTTACAATCCCACCAACAATATATAATGGTTCCCTTTTCTCCACATCTTTAGTAACACTCTTTATCTTCTTACTTTTTGATAACACCTATCCCAACAGGTGTCAGGTGCTATCTCATTGTGGTTTTAATTTGCATTTCCCTGATTATTAGTGATGTTGAGCGTGTTTTCATACAACTCTTGGCCTTTTGTATGTTCTTCTTTATAAAGTCGTCTATTCACGTCTTTTGCTCATTTTTAATTGGACTGAGTTTTTGCTATTCAGTTGTACGAATTTCTTACATACATTGGATACTAACCTCTTATTGGATATATGGTTTCAAATATTTTCTCCCATTCCATAGGTTGCTTTTTGATTTGATGCACTTCTACTTATTTAATAATTCTTAAATTTCTGCATATAATGAAATTTCTTTAAAGATAATTGATTTTTTAAATGCTTTTATTTACCTCAGTCAGCTTCATGGGTGCCTGTGACTTTACATAATATCAGGAAAGAACAGAGAAGTACAGCTGTGATAATTCCATGATCAACTTTCAAAATCATATCACAGAATTAAGCCACCAAAGTTGTTATTGCTTCTGCCATGTTCAGTACATTTAGAAGCAGAAGTCTGTAACGGACCTGTCATCTCCAGGGCCTTGTTGCCTTAACTCTTTCATTCATTCAGCAAAAACCTGGTGAAATTGGAAGCTCCTTGTTGAATTAAGGAACAACCATTGATTCAAGAACCTCAAACTTCTAACCACAATCTATGCTAGCAAAGCAGGCACATCATATTCTGCCTCTATCTTCTTGTTAACTCAAATTAAAGTCTCATATATTTATCATAGGAATCTAATAGGCAGAACCAAAATTGCATTCACATTCCGATTCTTAAAGACAGGGATATGTAATTTTGAATTCTATTACCTCTGCATATTAGAAGATATTTGGTGATGCGTGGTGATTACCCATTACATGAAAATAATGTCACACGTTGGTGGTATTTATTGTACTCTCGTTTTTAACGTATATTCAGGGGGACTGGGATGTCCAATATGTGGAGAATGGTGGAATAGAATATAAGACATGTTTAGAAATTACCCTCAGGAACTTAAAAAAAAAAACAAACAGCCAGCGTGGTGGCTCATGCCTGTAATACCACCACTTTGGGAGGCTGAGGCAGGTGGATTGCCTAAGATTAGGAGTTCAAGACCAGCCTGGCAAACATGGTGATACCCTGTCTCTACTAAAAATACAAAATATTAGCTGGGCATGGTGGTGGATGCCTGTAATCGAGCTACTCGGGAGGCTGAGGCAGGAGAATCGCTTGAACTCGGGAGGTGGAGGTTGCAGTGAGCTGAGATCGCGTCACTGCATTCCAGCCGGGGCAACAAGAGAGAAAAATCCATCTCAAAAAAAAAAAAAAAAGAAAAGAAAAGAAAAAAAAGCTAATAAAAAAACAATCTTCTCAGGCCTTTGGTTCATGGAAGTGAAGAATGTTTTCTCCACAGTCAATGTTGTGAAAGAGATCCAAATTTCTATCGGAGAATTCAAAAGATTAAAATTAAATTAGAGAACACATTCTTGGCTAATTTTATTTCTACTTCCATTGGTTGTGGCCAAATTTTCAGACTTTCAATTTCATTCTATGCAAAATATTACTTTCCCTTTCATGAAGATAGAATTAAGCCACTCAAAAATGGATACATCTGGTTAAACAGGGACTTAATTCAATCATTAGGTAGCTTTGTAAAAGAGAGCTTTTAGGCTACAATACAAAGGGAATGAAGCAATTAGATTAAAAGGAATTGTGATATGATAAAATGATTTAAGCCTGGATTATGGATGGAAGAGAAAACCAGGAATGATTGCTGCAGATAGGGTAGATTTGCCTTAAAATATTCTACCCATTGAAATGACAAGGAAACTGTAATTTTTGAATAAAGGTACAAAATGAAACTAGATATATTTTACTTCTTCTACTACTTTACTTCTTTCATCCTTAATATTCTTTTGTCTTGACAGACTGGCCAAGAAGGGGCCACATTTGTATGTTCAAAGAAAGTGGAACAATGGAATTTAATTAATTCAGTTCTGTTTTTGCAATCTTTATTCATTAGTTGAATATTGGCTAGGTTCCCTAGACAGGCTATCAATGTAAAAGATCAGAAAATATTGCAATATATGGACAACAAACTTGATGCTAAATATAAATTTCCTTCATGCATCAGTGAGTGGTGGATTTTTGATATAAAGGACTGCCTTTATTTTAGGAAGACGCTCCCTTATTAAAGAAAGAATACAAGGGTTATAAGAAGTTTGAACTTTATGTTAAAGGGAGTGATATTAGTAGAGCCATATTTTAAAACTATGAGAGGCCAAGCACTTTGGCTTATGACTGTAATCCCATTACTGTGGAAGGCTGAGGTGGGAGGATTGCATGAGGCCAGGAGTTCAGGGTCAGCCTGTGCAACATAGTGAGACCTTATCTCTACAAAAAATAAAAAATTGGCTGGTGTGATGGTGCATGCCTATAGTCCTAGCTACTCAAGAGGCTGAGGCATGAGGACTCTTTGAGTCCAGGAGTTTGAGTTTGCAGTCAGCTATGATCAGGCCACTGCACTCCAGCCTAAAAAACAAAAACAAAAACAAAAACAAAAACTAGAAGAGGTGTGACTGCAGCCTGAGTAGCTAGTTAGATGACTATATAGTACATTTTGAGGCCATATCCTGACAACTTTCCTAAAGCTTCACAGAGAATACAGTAGATGTTATAAAGAATAACAATCAACTAAATATCCGGAACCACTCCATGTTATCTGCCCAATACTCTGTCTATTCTTCTGTCTTGACTTTTACAATTCTTCACTTCACCCTTCCCCATATTTTATACTCTGCTTTCCATCTGCTTTATGTATCAGTATAATGAAAACATAAGACTGTCTTGGGCTTTTGTTTCGGGTCTCACTCCAGATTTGATTTTTAACATTCTCTCTTGCTATGGAGAATTCTTGAATTACCATCTATTTGGGAACAATTTTTCATGGATCTCTCATGTTTCTGCATGTCTAAGTGAATGAGGCACTGATTGCCCCTCATTTTGGACCATCTTTTCAAGTATGTTTTTACAGCAAAATAGCCTTGGAAACTATAGTGTCTTCCTCTAGAGCAAAGCGCAGGTTTGCTTACAGTCTTGGGAGATAGAGATTATGTCTTTCACTGGAGCAAGGAACAAAGGAGGAAGGGTTAGTGCCCATTATAAAAAGTTCAGATTTCTGAAGCTTGGGATTCCATTCATGTAATGTAACCTACCATTTGCATATATCCACCCAGGCCCATTTGTGTCACCCCATGAAACTCAGGAGCAAGGGGAATTGAGGCAAATGTGATGATGTTCATGGTGTTTGCTGTGCTATGAGTAACAAAGTCCTTTGTCTCTGACCCAGGAATGCTGTATCTTTTGCCATCATCCTTGAGTCTGTGGCAGGCTAACTGGTTTACTTGCAAGTAGTGTGAAATCTCAGACTACCTTTTTCTATCCCTTGGGTTTTATTTAATTAGCTTTATTGGGATATAATTCACCATTATAGAGGGTAAAATTAAAAGGATTTTAGTGTATTCACAGAGTTATGCAACCATCACCACAATCTAATTTTTGCACATTTTCATCACTTCAAAAATATGTCTTGTACCCATTAGCCATATTCACCTTATCTCCCTTTCCTCCCACCCCAATATAACTTTTTCTATATATATCTGCCTAGTGGACATCTCATATAAATGGACAGAAACAGAAAATTATAATAATTCGAGTAAGTGGATACAAATTAATTCCTTGGGAATACAGAGGGAAAAGCAGGGTCAAAATTTTAATTTTGGAAAGGTAGATTTTACAGAACTTTGTGATAGAAAATGAGAGGTAGAAAACCAAAGTTGTTCTAGCCAGGGTGAGTGAGGGATGAAATAATTGGAAAGAAAACAGTCTGAGAGGGAAGAACAGAAACCTAGTAACAATGTGAAGAGAGACAGTAAGCACTAGACTTTTTCAATGGAAGGGATGGCTTATAAACCTTGGAAAGAGCAGCTATTATGCAGTTTTTAATGAATTTGTGTTTTTGTTTTATTTTCATTTTGTTATCCTCAAATCTTTGGTAAAAGAGTTTTTAAAACAACAGGATTATGCTTATTGTTACTTCACCAAAGCAACATTTTGTTCATTCTTTAAACAAAAGAGATTTAGAAGAATAGGCAGAAGCAAGATGAAAAGAGAACTGGATTGGGAAGTGGAATTCTAAGGAAGAAATGACTGCCCAGAGAGTATATGTAGCTTTCTCACTCAGAAGACATTTTAAACATACCGAGGAGGGAATTCAGCTGTCTACCATTGTGCGGCATGTGGATTCAAATAACTTTCCTTGGATATTAAATACCAAACATAAACTTCAGAAGCCTAGAGGACTAGGGTACAAACATAATACGAGTGCATTTTTGGTTGGTTGTTCTTTTAATCTACTCAATTAGAAATATTGGTCTGGAATGGAGGCGAGTGGTCTGACTGAGAGGTTTAAGCCACCAACTCACTGGGAAGGAGTCAACATTGATGAGAATTTCCAGAGAAAGGGAATGGAGCTCCAGAAGAGGTAAGAGTAGGCACTAAAACCAATCTTGCAATGATGGATAAACAAAGATGAATTAGAGGAATTATTTAGGAGAAGTGAGAACAAAAAAGAAATAGCTTTTATGAAAACAAGGATGTGTGTGTGTGTGTGTGTGTGTGTGTTTGTGTGTATTTTAGAAGTAGAAAAGTTTATTGAATGCTGATAGAATATTCTTTATGGTATGTGTTTCTTTTTGTGCAGCAGGTTGGGGAATGGATGTGGTGGGTATTGAATTATAGTTTTCTCTGGAAGATACCTTTGACTTTTATTTCTTTTCATAAGACTGAGTGCTTTCTGAAAGTATCAAGTGGGAATCCTGTCATTATTAATTAGTATTTATTGAATCCTTATTATGTCCACAAGCACTTTCTGTATATGACTAGTTCTCAACTGGGGAGACTTTGACCCCCAGGGGACATCTGGCAATGTCTGAATCTTTTGGGGGTTGTCACACCTGTGTGGGGTTGTTGCTGGCATCTAGTAAGGGTCCAGGAATGTTGCTAAATATTTTGTGATGCACAGGACAGCCCCCTGCAAAAAAGAATTTTCTAGCCCCCACTGCCAATAGCACTGGAGTTGAGAAATCCTGATGAGAAATGCAAGTTTTAATACTTCCAGAAACACTTTGAGATAGATAACTTTTATCACTTCCTTCTTCCAGAAGAGGAAACTGCAGCATGAGGATTTTGAGCAACAATTTTTAGTAAAGGAACCAAACACCGCATGTTCTCACTCATAGATGGGAATTGATCAATGAGAACACATGGACACAGGAAGGGGAACATCACACTCTGGGGACTATTGTGGGGTGGGGGGAGGGGGAGGGATAGCATCGGGAGATATACCTAATGCTAAATGACGAGTTAATGGGTGCAGCGCACCAGCATGGCACATGTATACATATATAACTAACCTGCACATTGTGCACATGTACCCTAAAACTTAAAGTATAATAATCATAATAATAAAAAGAGTAAAAAATAAAAAAATTAAAAAAAACCACAATTTTTAGTAAAGGGTAGAGCCTAGATTTGGATGGCAGTAGTGTGACTCTTGAGCATGTGTTACACCCTATGCTCTATTATCTTTGTAAATTACCCCTATATGTGTGTAACCAACCCCTGCTACAGCAACACACCTTGTTTGCATTAACTCAATCAGAACAAACATATTTATTTAAATACATCCTTCCCCACCAAGACAATGTGCTTAGAAGGGTTTCCATTCTTCTTACTTTGCATAGAACAGGAAACATAGCAACTTAGAGTTGTTCTCGGGTACTAGAAGCAATAGGCAGCCTTTATTTATGAGCTGTTATTTTATGGCATTTTAATTTATTTTTAAAGCTTATTGGTTTATCTTTTTCAAGTTTAGGATTCAATGAAGGGAGGATTTTCATATAAGCCAAGGCAATTTTTCTCTCCAGTATAGAAAACTTATATTTATACACATTAGAAACTCTACCAGCTCAGTCTTTTAAGGAACACATTTTTGTCATAGAGATGCAATTCATAATAGCGGAGGAAATGTCATTTTAGTTCTAAGTTACCATAAGCACCACTTGGACTGCTACAGAGGTACTCTCTGGAGCAAAATTTATTGTTTTACCTATACTAAGTACTTAGTGTTTTTAAGAGATCTATGATGCTTTCATTCCAGATTAATTTAAAGTAATGCTCGCAGTATACTCAATCTCTTTCTCTGTATGGTGGAATTTGAAGTTTGTCTTCCCCCCACCAAGAATATTTTATTTCCTCATGTAATTACCAGTTTTTGGCTGAACTTTTTGTATTATAGGCAGAAAGCAATATATTACATGTCTTAAGTCCTTCTGCTTAAATATTATGGAAGAATAGGCCCTCACCATATGGCATATTGTGTGTATTTTAAAGTGTTCCTCAGAGTAAAAAGTTATATTTATTCTGATATATGCCTTCTACCTGTTTCTTTCTCCTTCCCTTCCTCCCTCTGTCCCTTTCTTCCTTCTTTCCTTCCTTCTTTTCTTTCTGTCTCTCCCTAACCTCCACTCATGTCCCCTTTCCTTCTCTTATAGACTTGAAAGTACTTGCTCTTTAAAAATCAACCTTGACATAGTCTGAATATGCTAGTGGAGGTCCTGGATTTTAAAAATTAGCTATACACTTCAAAACATTTTATTTATCAGAAAAAAATAATTTACCTTTCCTAAAAGAAAACACAGCAAGTGAGAAATTATCAAATGATTGAAATTTTACTTCTGGCTATGCATAGTAAGTACTCTGATGTATATTGGGACATATTCTGAAGAGAGCATGCTTATGAAATCATCTATGTCCAATTAGCATTGAGAATTTGTTTAAACAGAATAAAGACCTCTAAGGTGTTTTAGTGATTTTGCTATTCTTTACACAAAAGGCTTTTCTCCTTAGGTACAAACACACAACAGTAAAAACCTATAAAATCCTTCCCTATTCTAGTGACAATAAAAAAAGAACCATTGTGATAAATTTAATAACAAATAGAAAATACATTTTTATTTTAAATAAACCTGATGTTGTAGATGAATAAGAACTGTTTTTCTTTCCTGTTATACTAGATGATTTATAATGTGTCCATTTGCCCAAATTAGAACTCCAAAAATTATCTTCATTTCTTATTTTTATTTTTATTATACTTTGAGTTCTGGGATACATGTGCAGAATGTGCAGATTTGTTAAATAGGTATACATGTGCCATGGTAGTTTGCTGCACCCATCAACCTGTCATATACATTAGGTGTTTCTCCTAATGCTATCCCTCTCTTAGCCCCTCACCCCGCTGACAGGCCCTGGTGTGTGATGTTCCCATCCCTGTGTCCATGTGTTCTCATTGTTCAACTCCCACTTATGAGTGAGAATATGTGGTGTTTGGTTTTCTGTTCTTGTGTTAGTTTGCTGAGAATGATGGTTTCCAGCTTCATCCATGTCCCTGCAAAGGACATAAACTCATCCTTTTTTATGGCTGCATAGTATTCCATGGTGTATATGTGCCACATTTTCTTAATCCAGTCTATCATTGATGGACATTTGGGTTGCTTCCAAGTCTTTGCTATTGTGAATAGTGCCACAATAAACATACGTGTGCATGTGTCTTCATAGAAGAATGATTTATAATCCTTTGGGTATATACCCAGTAATGGGATGGCTGGGTCAAATGACATTTCTGGTTCTAGATCCTTGAGGCATTGCCACACTGTCTTCCACAATGGTTGAACTAATTTACACTCCCACCAACAGTGAAAAAGTGTTCCTATTTTTCCACATCCTCTCCAGCATCTGTTGTTTCCTGACTTTTTAATGATCACCATTCTAACTGGTGTGAGATGGTATCTCACTGTGGTTTTGATTTGCATTTCTCTAATGACCAGTGATGATGAGCTTTTTTTCATGTTTGTTGGCTGCATAAATGTCTTCTGTTGAGAAGTGTCTGCTCATATCCTTCAACCACTTTTTGATGTGGTTGTTTTTTTCTTGTAAATTTATTTAAGTTCCTGATAGATTCTGGATATTAGCCCTTTGTCAGCTGGACAGATTGCAAAAATGTTCTCCCATTCTGTATGTTGCCTGTTCACTCTGATGATTGTTTCTTTTGCTTCACAGAAACTCTTTAGTTTAATTAGATCCCATTTGTCAGTTTTGGCTTTTGTTGCCATTGCTTTTGGTGTTTTAGACATGAAGTCTGTGCCCATGCCTATGTCCTGAATGGTATTGCCTAGGTTTTCTTCTAGGGTTTTTATGGTTTTAGGTCTTACGTTTAAGTCTTTAATTCATCTTGAGTTAATTTTGTATAAGTTATAAGGAAGGGGTCCAGTTTCAGTTTTCTGCATATGGCTAGGCAGTTTTCCCAACGTCATTTATTAAATAGGGAATCCTTTCCCCATTGCTTGTTTTTGTCATGTTTGTCAAAGATCAGATGTTGTAGATGTGTGGCATTATTTCTGGGGCCTCTGTTCTGTTCCATTGGCCTATATATCTGTTTTGGTACCAGTACCATGCTGTTTTTGTTACTGTAGCCTTGTAGTATAGTTTGAAGTCAGGTAGCATGATGCCTCCAGCATTGTTCTTTTTGCTTAGGATTGTGCAGGCTATATGGGCTCTTTTTTGGTTCCATATGAAATTTAAAGTAGTTTTTTCTAACTCTGTGAAGAAAGTCGATGGTAGGTTGATGGGGAAAGCACTGAATCTATGAATTACTTTGGGCCCTATGGCCATTTTCACAATATTCATTCTTCCTATTCATGAGCATGGAACTTTTTTCCATTTGTTTGTGTCCTCTCTTATTTCCTCCAATGGTAGTTTGTAGTTCTCTTTGAAGAGGCCCTTCACATCCCTTGTAAGTTTATTCCTAGGTATTTTATTCTCTTTGTAGTTAATGTGAATGGGAGTTCACTCATGATTTGGCTGTTTGTCTATTATTGGTGTATAGCAATGTTTGTGATTTTTGCACATTGATTTTGTATCCTGAGACTTTGCTGAAGTTGCTTATCAGTGTAAGATTTGGAGCTGAGACGATGGGGTTTTCTAAATATACAATCACGTCATCTGGAAACAGAGACAATTTGACTTCCTCTTTTCCTATTTGAATACCCTTTCTTTCTTTCTATTGCCTGATTGCCCTGGCCAGAGCTTCCAATACTATGTGGAATAAGAGTGGTGAGAGAGGACATCCTTATCTTGTGCCAGTTTTCAAAGGGAAGGCTTCCAGCCTTTGCCTATTCAGTATGATATTGGCTGTGGGTTTGTGATAAATAGCTATTATTTTGAGGTATGTTCCATCAATACCTAGTTTATTGAGAGTTTTTAGCATGAAGGGCTGTTGAATTTTATTGAAGGCATTTTCTGCATCTATTGAGATAATCATGTCCGTTTTGTCATTGGTTCTGTTTATGTGATGGATTATGTTTATTGATTTGCATATCTTGAACCAGCCTTGCATCCCAGGGATGAAGTTGGCTTGATCTTGGTAGATAAGCTTTTTGATGTGCTACTGGATTTGGTTTGCCAGTATTTTATTGAGGATTTTTGCATCAATGTTCATCAGGGATATTGGCCTGAAATTTTCTTTTTTTGTTGTGTCTCTGCCAGGTTTTCATATCAGGATGATGCTGGCCTCATAAAATGAGTTAGGGAGGAGTCTCTCTTTTTCTATTGTTTGGAATAGTTTTAGAAGGAATGGTAGCAGCTCCTCTTTGTGCCTCTGGTAGAATTTGGCTGTGAATCTGTCTGGTCCTAGGCCTTTTTTGGTTGGCAGGCTATTAATTACTGCCTCAATTTCAGAACTTGTTATTAGTCTATTCAGGGATTCAACTTCTTCCTGGTTTAGGCCTGGGAGGATGTATGTGTCCAGGAATTTATCCATTTCTTCTAGATTTTCTAGTTTATTTGTGTAGAGGTGTTTATAGTATTCTCTAATGGTACTCTGTGTTTCTGTGGTATCAGTGGTGATATCCCCTTTATCATTTTTTATTGTGTCTGTTTGATTCTTCTCTCTTTTCTTATTAGTCTGGCTAGTGGTCTATTTATTGTGTTAACCTTTTGAAAAAACCAGCTCCTGGATTCATTGATTTTTTTGAAGGGTTTTCATGTCTCCATCTCCCTCACTTCTGCTCCGATCTTAGTTATTTCTTGCCTTCTACTAGCTTTTGAATTTGTTTGCTCTTGCTTCCCTAGGTCTTTTATGTATGATGTTAGGGTGTTGATTTTAGATCTTTCCTGCTTTCTCCTGTGGGCATTTAGTGCTCTAAATTTCCCTCTAAACACTGCTTTAGCTGTGTCCCAGACATTCTCGTACATTGTGTCTTTGTTCTCATTGGTTTCAAAGAACTTATTTATTTCTGCCTTAATTTATTTACCCAGTAGTCATTCAGGAGCAGGTTGTTTCAGTTGCCATGTAGTTGTGCGGTTTTGAGTGAGTTACTTAATTCTGAGTTCTAATTTGATTGCACTGTGTTCTGAGAGACTGTTTGTTATGATTTCCATGCTTTTGCATTTGCTGAGGAGTGTTTTACTTCCAATTATGTGGTCAATTTTAGAATAAGTGCATAGTGGTGCTGAGAAGAGTATTTTCTTCCTTAACCCCACATGTATTCAGTCATCATAGCCTTCTCTTCTCTTCTCTTTTCTGAGTTAGGATCTCTCTTTGTCTCCCAGGCTAGAGTGCAGTGGCATGATTGTGGCTCACAGTTGGGAATTTGGGCATAAGGATTTTGTGCAGGGAAGGAAAATCTATAACCACAGTAAGTGTCTATTTCAGTAAGAACAAAATATTGCCCTTCTATGATAGAAGAGACCCAATTTAATTAATTTGTCAGCAGTTAGCTGCCTGATCACCCACAAGAATCAGCCATACAAGGGACTCAGTGTTGTTCTCTGCTGCTGGATTAGACATTCATCAGTGCCAGCCTTGTTAAGTGAAAGTCCATGTTGCTGAGCGCATGCATATCCTCCATTCCTTCCACCATGACTACTTTGTTCATGAACCCATTGAGCAATGGCAATGTGGCTAGAGAAAGAGATTGACTGGTTTCCTCAGAAAGGGTCATTTTAATCACTTGATTATTAAACTTTTTCTCTGCTAAGATCACCCCTTGGTGAACACTTATATGGCATAGAAATATATTCACATTTTTTGCCCACATAACTCTTCCTCAAATGTCCCCATTGCCAATTTTCCAATCATATTTCTTTCAAGTCCCTGGTCATTTAGCCAAACCATTGACTGCAGTTTATTGATCAGTATATGATAGAATATCTGGTTATTTCTCTTTTCAAGCAAAGTAAACAACCAGGTGCACCATTTGAATTTTTGCAATTTTTGCCCATTGGAAGGATTTCCCTTCACTCCAGTCCATCAGGGATGTCCCGCAACAGGGGCTACAGAGCTACAGTTGTCCACTTTTGAGTGGTAACTGCATATCATGCAGAACCATCTGTAAACCAGGCCAAAGTCTTCTATTCCTTACTCACCTGATGGTAGTGTACTCCCCATGAGGCCATAGGTGCAGGCTGAGAAATAGAAAGTGTTGGAACCAGAGTGGAGACCATGGGCATTTAGGTCATTGCTGTAAGTTGGATGATTGTCCCCCAAAATCTCATGGTGAAATTTGATCCCTAATATTGGAGGTGGGGCCTAATGGGAGGTATTTAGGTCATAGGAGCATATCCCTCATGAATGGCTTAGTGCTGTTCTCATGTTGATGAGTAAGTTTTCACTCTTAGTTCCTAAGAGATCAGGTTGTTAAAAAGACTCTGGCTTCCTCAATTTCACTCTCCTGCTTCCTCTCTTTTCATGTTATCTCTGCACATGCTTGGCTCTCCTTCTCTTTCCACCATGAGTGGAAGCAGCCTGAAGCCCTCACTAGATGCAGACCCTGGCGCCATGTTTCTTGAATAATCTGCAGAACTGTGAGCTATATGAACCTCTTTTCTTCATAATTTACCCAACTTTAGGTATTCCTTTACAGCAACACAAATGCACTAAGATGGTCATTTCTATATGTAACTTTTGCCTTCAGGGCCTGCTTAGGCCTGATCACATATCTATCACTTTTGTTTGAGGATGGAATGTGGCAGTGCCTGTTGAACTTTATGGCTTGGTGAGTCAGATAATACACAGTTCATAAAGAGCAGCTCAGGTTGCATAACTTGGTGGCCCATGGTTAAGCATTTATTCTCCATTAAGGACCAGCAGGAGGTCAAGGACTGTTTCTCAAAAGAAGAGTAGTTATCTGCGGAGGGTGTCAGGGCTTTGCTTCAAATACTATCAGAGCCTTCCAAAGGCTCCAAATAGCATTCCTGTCTTTCACGGATACTTTAAGCATCACTGGATCTGCTGGATCATATGGCTCAAGTGACAGAGCAGCTTGCACAGCAGGCTGGACTTGTTATGGAGTCTTTTCCTATTCTGGGCCTTTACTCAAAACTAGAAGCTTGTCAGGTTACTCAGTAAATGGGCCAGAGTAACACACCTGAATGAGAAATATGTTGCCTCCAAAATCCAAATAGGCCCACTAGCCACTGTGCCTCTTTTTTGGTTGCAGGAGGGGCCAAATGCAACAACTTATTCTTTACCTTAGAATAAATATCTTGACATTTTCCACACCACTGGACCTGTAGAAATTTCCCTGAAGTAGAAGGCCTCTGAATTTTTGTTACATATATTTCCCACTCTCTGATAAGCAAATCCCTTACCAGTAAGACTAGAATAGTTGTTACGTGTTGCTCAGTAAGTCCAATCAGCATAATGCCATCAATATAATGAACTAGTATGATATCTTCTTGAAGGAAAAGGAGATCAAGATCCCTGCAAACTGAATTATGACTTAGGGCTGGAAAGTCAGTATACCTCAGAGGTAGGACAGTGGAAGTGTATTGCTGTCCTTGCCAACTGAAATCAAAATGCTTCTGGTGATCTTTACAAAGAGGTATCAAGAAAAATACATTTGCCAGGTCCATAGCTGCATACCAGATATGTGTTAATTTAAGCAAAGAAACCATATCTGACAGAACAGCTGCAATTATAGTCACTACCTGTTTTAGCCTATATTTTCATTCTCCAAGATCCATCTGGCTTTTGCACAGGCCAAATAGCAGAGTTGAATGGAGATGTGGTGAGGATCATCACCCCTGCATCTTTCAAGTGAATTTTGGTGGCATTAATTTCTGTAATCCATTCAGGAATGTGGTATTGCTTTTTGTTTACTATTTTTCTAGATAGAGGGATTTTTTTATTGGTTTCCACTTGGCCTTTCCCACCATAATAGCCCTCACTCCACAGGCTAGGAAACCAATGTGGGGATACTGCCAGCTGCTGAATATATCTATTCCAGTTATGCCTTCTGGAGCTGAAGAAATAAACACAGAATGGATTGACAGACCCACTGGGTCCACTGTGCAATGAACCTGAGCTAAAACTTCCCTGACCACCTGACCTTCCTAAACTCCCATTCTGATTGATAGGCCACAGTGATGTTTTGGGTCTCCTGGAATTTGTGTCAGTTAAGAGCCAGTGTCTGGTATGTCCTGAAAGGTTTGATTATTTCCTCTTCTTCAGTACACAGTTACCTTTGTAAAATACCATAGGTGCCTGTGGAAAAGGGTAGGATAATGATTGACAGTATAAATTTTTGATACTGTATCAGAATCCTTCCTCATAGGTTCCTAGCCTCCCCTTCATTCAAGGGGTTCTGAGTCTGTATACAGGCCCAAGACCTCATTAAGGGGTCATGACATTTTTTTCTTTTCTGAAGTCTGTGGCCTGTCAGGTATGACTCTCTGTTTTCATGATTTGGGTTAGAATTTTGTTCACTTGACTTAGAACATTTTTGCATATAGAGATCAAGTAAGACTTTAGTAGGCTTCCTATCTATCTGACTAATTGATTATTGTAGGAACACCATAATCAATAAATCAATGTCATAGGTCTGCACAAGTCAGACTATCCAATTGCTGCTTTGCCTTTGCTGTCCCTTACAGTAAGCGTGCCCACCTTGCCTTTGGCCATTGAGTGCCTGCCTCCACTTACATCCAATTACTTTTATTACTCCCAGAATAGCATTACTCCTATTGCATTTAGGTTTCCAAATTGAATATCTCCATTTCCTACTACAGTTGACCCTTGAACAACATGGGTTTGAACTGTATGGGTTCACTTATATGCAGATTTTTTTTTTAATATATAGTTTGCCCTCCACTATCTACAGATTTGACATTAGCAACCAAATGCAATTGAAAATACAGTATTCATGGAATGTAAAACCCGTCGATTTAGATGGCCAACTTTTTATATCTTAGGGGCTCCACAGGGTTGAATGCAGGACATTAGTATATGCAGATTTTGGTATGTGCAGGAAGTCCTGGAACAAATCCCCTATGTATACCAAGGGACAACTGTATAAGGTCTGGCCTATGGAAAACAAAAAGCTCTTTAAGGATGCTGGGATTCCTTCCACAAATTTATTTCTCACAGTATCAGGGAAAAATGTTTTCTGGACCCTCCCTGTGTGGGTGAGTATGTTTTAGATGACAAATCCACTCTAACATAACAATCCTCCTAAGCCTTTGCATCTCTACATCAAATCAAGGCAGGTCAGGCATTTCTAATTTGCTGATGGTGGGCCATCTTTTGGTCCATGTTTCAGCCAATCAACCAAGAAAATTACAGCCCCTTCTAACTCCCTGAGCTGCAACATTAAATGCAGAATCTTTCCTTAGTGAGCCCATATCAACATTGAACTCATCCAACTTTATGCTCCTTCCACCATTGTTTTATACCCTTAGCATCCATCCCACACATATTCTCCAGGTTTATGTCTATGTAAATTAGAAAATTCAAGTAGTTCTTTTGGAGTGTAGTGCACCTCCTAATGGGCCATATTTTGTACCTCACCTTTGGGGTCTGCTGGGTTTGAGTCTAGTTGCAGGTCTAGAAGCAAAGAGGGGTGTTAGGTGTGGGTTCTGAAGAGAATCAGCCTTGTCTTGCATAGAAACTACTTCTGGTGAGGCCATTAAGTTTCCCCAGGCAATGCAGAATTAATCTTCTTAGATGAGGGTAGAAAGCCTGCTACTACTGGGAATGGGAAGGCTGTTTCCACTGGGGCTGTGGAGACTTCTTCCACTGGCAAAAATACTCATCAAATTTTAGGGGCTCAATGTCCCCAGCTTCATCGCATCTTCCTACACGTCTCCATTCCAATATATAGGATTCCATTCTTTCCCAATCAATATTTTCATTTTAACAGTAGATACCTTTAGGGCTGGGAGTTCAACTTGCATTATAATTTAGCTAGTCACAAGATGAGACTGTACCTTTAATTTTCCATAATCTCAGCCCTGTGTTTACAAGAGATATGGGTCTCCTTAAAGGCACACATAGAAGCACACACATTTTTTGATCTATCAGATGGGAATGGCAATGCCTTCTCATAAAGTTGCTGCAAGGAATAAATGAGATGATCTGTGCATAGTAGTAATCACAAACTTGACATATGGTTGCTGTTCAATCATGTTACAAATCATTATCATTATTGTACATACAGCACATGACCATTACACATACAGCACTTTTGCTGCGAATTTGAATTCCTGAGCTCATCTTCTTCTTTCATCACTTCGTCCAGCAACATTAGGAGCAAGCAATCAATCAACATCATTATATTAATTAGCTTTCCGAAAATGTTTAAAAGTACCACATGCACAATCAGCCAGCAATTTGCTTCATAAGCCATTGACTAGGAGTACCCAAGAGATATTTTCCATATCTGTACTACCGGTTCCAACCATGGACTATAAGTGCTCTCTTTACTACTAGAAATAAGGTCATTAGCAGATTTAAATCTAATAAGATTATAGAGACAATTCCAGAACCCCAAAACCAATTCAGAAAACTCATCCTTAAAATTCTATTCCTCTAGAACCAATCCTGTTACCAACATCTGTATTAGCCAGGGTTTTCCAGAGAAACAAAACCAATAGAATAGATAGATAGACAGACAGATAGATCAAAAGAAATTTAATATAAGGTGATGACTCACATAATTATGGAAGCTGAGAAGTCCCATGATCTGCCTTCTGTAAGCTGGATACCCAGGGAAGACAGGGGTGTGTAGTTTAAAGGCCTCTGTACCAGAAAGCTGATTCTGTGGAATCCAGTCAGTGTCTGAAGGCCTGAGAATAAAGCATACAAAGCAAAAGTTTGATAGCTCAGCTCCAGCAGTTAGGCAGAGGGAGAATGAGTCTAACCTTCTGCTTTTTTGTTCTATTCGGGCCCTAAGTGGATTGGTTGATACCCACCCCCATTGGGGAGGGCCATCTGTTTTATTCAAATGCTATTCTCTTCTGGTTAACACCCTCACAGAAACACCCAGTTTGGTTTGATTAGATATGTAGGCATCTCGTGGCTCAAATTGACACACAAAATTAACCATCGCAGTGTTTCTTCAGCAATTTATTTGCATGGTTTTCCCTCTTGGGTTGACATTTGATTTGTATTCTACAATTTTCTGTTGAAAATTGTATCATGGATAATAATTTCATTAGATTGGTGAGCTATGTTTAACCATGTTCCCATAGGATTTAAAGTACTTTTAAGAATAATAATGTTTTATATCCATTGCTAATATAATCTATGGATTTTATCATGTTAAGACATCTGCTACAAAAAGAGGTGATTCCATAAGTGTGTCATTTGCTATTTCTAAGCATATGGGAAGCAAAATCTTGTGATTGACTGGTTAATAGTTCGGTTATAGGTTGAGTTGCGCCCCCTCAAAAAAAATATGCTGGAGTCCTAACACGTAGCACCTCTGAATGTGACCTCATGTGAAACAGGGTCCTTAGAGAGGTAACTAAATCAAGGTGAGATCATTAGGATGAGCCCTAATCCAGTATGACTGGTGTCCTTATATAAAAAAGAATTTGGACACAGACACACACAGGGAGAACGTCACATAAAGAAGAAGACAGAGATTGGGGTGATGCATCTGTAAGCCAAAGAACACCAAAGATTGCCAGCCAACCACCAGAAGCTGGGAGAGAGGCTTGGAACAGATTCTCTCTCACAGCCCTCAGAAGGATCCAACCCTGCCAATACCTTCATCTGGGACTTCCAGCTTCCAAAACTGTGAGACAATACATTCTGATTATTTAAGCCACCAAGTATGTTGTATTTTGTTACAGCAGCCCTAGGAAATTAGAAACTAATAAATATATCCAGGTAACGAATGGCACATACTGTTTGTTAATAGATGGGGTCTGCAATACTGAGAAACAGTTGCCAATAAGGGACTATGTCAAGATTTATGTACAAATAAATAAATATCCTAGTATCTATATTAGGAGGAATACCTGCATGAAAGCAAAGAGAGAAGGAGCCAGTTAAGCCTGGAGCAGCTGAATAAGTCTAGGAGAGTGATCAGATCACCGTGCAAGTTTAATACTGGATGAAGGGAAGGTAGAGATGACAATAGAGGGGACATATCCTAAACTGCCCTGCAGTCTAAGGAAGGTTCAGTTTGCCAAAGCCTCTGTGTTGTCTTTAAGCCAAAGTCAGCTGTCGGGGATAGCTCGGGTCCTCCAGGAACAGATTGGCCTTAGTATCCCTGCCATGCTCATTCACTGCTTGTGAGCAGCTGTAGCAGGCACATCCTCAGCTCAAATGAGGTGATGGATTTCCAAATGCAGTTTGGGACCCTTGGTTAAGTCCTCTCCCTGAAGTGGGGAGGTCTGCAAGGCACATTCTCACAGTCCCCAGAGATGCTCCTCAAGTGAGTGAAAAACTGATATGGAATTCAATCCTTGAAAAAAAATGAACCAAATGAAAATACTATCCAAGAATTGAAAAAAATTCACTCACCTAGAGTGTAGGTCACCTGGGCTGTGAAAATAAATCAGTTCTAACACATAAAGGGTGAACAAAATAAAACATTTTGTTACTCATGGGGCAGTTTAACGGTGGGAAAGTTGGAAGTGGGATTGAGGAAGTTGCTCTCCACTGCTCCACACAAACAATGAGAGATGCAGGTGATAATGCCTCCATCATCTTTAACAAGTGGCTTCCATGTTTGTTCTGGGGTAGGGGTTGTGGTCACCACCCTGGTTAGCTGAAAGGGGAAAGTATGGAGTGCTGTATGTGGGAGACTTTTATGGTCAAGGCCTTAAAATGGCACACATTTGTTCTACTCACTTTCCATTAGCTGAAATTCAGTCATTTGCCCCTACCCAACTGCAAAGCAGGCTGGATAATATGCTTAAGCTTTGCGCCCAAGAAAAGAGGGAAAGGATCCTGGTGTACAACTGATTACTTCTACCACACCTGGATATGGCCAGTTATTAGTATTTGTGACCTCAATTAAAAAGAACTCCAAAATAGTGACTGAAATTCTCAGTTTTATCCAGCTGTTGGACATTATGCAAGTACAGAAAATAGTCATTAGCTAATGCTTTTAGGATTAAAGGTATCTACAATATATGGCCACACATCACTATAAAGTTAAAAAGTAAATAAATTAAGCATATACTGAGGGGATTATTACAATTCCATGTTTCATAATTGAATAGTGTACCCCCAAGTTTTATAATTTAAAAAAATGCAATTAAGTATTCTAGAAATAGAATTACAGATGGCCCAAATGAAAATGTATGGAGGTGGATAAATCCGACATGTTGAATCAGTCCTATAAATAAGTTTCTCTTTGGTTTTGTTTTACAGGCTTCTGAGAGTGTATTTTCAGGCTCATCTTTTTTTAGATTATCTGTATTCTCAGTGTATATATATTCATAGCCTTGTAATAAGAAAGTTATAGAAGACTAAAAGGGTAAAATACAAATTATATTTCTAGTAGCAAAACAATACTAAATAATTAGGAATAAACGAGGGCTAAATACCAATAATACTAATTTTTTTAAAGAATAAAACAATACTAATCAAATTGAGACAAGCATCAAAGTTCACCAGGTGCCTTGCGAACTACTTTTCTCCAGTTCCTACCTATCCTTGACTAATGTATACGATGAGTATACTGCCAACATAACAACCCACCTTTTCACAGGTTGTACTGAAGCCCAGTCTGAAATAAGGCCTAATGATTATCAGTGTGGCCCACATCCTCAGTGCACCTAGATTGGAATGACAACTGTCGTACTAATTATCTGTATGACCTTGGAAATGTGCAATGTCTTTAAACTCTCTGAACCTCAATTTCTTGATCTATAAAATGGGAATGACAATGCCTTCTCATGAAGTTGCTGTAAGGAATAAATGAGATAATCTGTGCATAGTAGTTATGACAAACTTGACATACAGTTGCTGTTCAATCATGTTACAAATTATTACCATTATTGTTAATAATACAAAACATTTTTTTGGTAAAAGCTTCTACTCACCTAGTTAGAGAAAACGGTGTCCAGAAAACAGTTATTAGTTTCCACCGAAATGTTTGAAAATGTTAATTGTTCTCTTAATTTAAGAGATTGGGCCCTCTGTTTAGATTTGGAGGAAGAAGGCTGAGATTTTGCGGGGGCCTACTGGGTTTTTCTCCTATGCCCTGTGAAAGCCAATTGGTGCCTGCTCTCCAGCTTCATGCTTTGAAAACTTCCTGGAAACCAGATTGAGTCCATGCCCTTCACTTACTTATTTTACCGCTGGTTCCAACAGTCAGCCCTATTCCCTCCTGTTAGACCAAACTTGCATCTTAGCAAGGGCTGCCAATTGACTGGAGTTACCAAGGCCCAGTTTTTGAAACTGCTCATTGAATGAAGATCCTCCTTGGGTTGTCTGCTCTGTCTTCAAGGTGATCTATATTATTATCCCAATGCTTTCCACATAAATTGATTTCCTTTTACCATTTTATGAGAGACATAACAGTTCCAAATTAAGTTATTTATATCTAAGTGATATTACTTTATTATCATAATTATTATTTTTTTCTGGGGTAATTCCTTTCTGTATTTAGTTTCTTAAAAATATGAGAATAAATACATCCACAGGATAAATGATGATAAACCCATGTCTGTTTATCTGATATTGTAATGATTATGGTAAACAGTGAGACTACGTCCTAATTTTGATATATTTTTTGATGAAAAGTTTGAGTTGGAAAAACAAAATGACATTCAATTTTCAAGTCTCCCCCAAATATGATACACATATTGTAAAATGAAAATACATCTCCCCCTTATATGGTACATTTATTTTAACATTATTCCACCTTAAAACTGCTTACATTTTCATTTGAGGAAAAAGAAATGCTACCTCATGCAAATATTTTTCTTTCTGCATCATATGAGTATTAATTCTTTCATCTGACCTTTCTCTTTTTTTTTTTTCATTTCACTACCATGTGCCAGGATATTATATTAGGTATTGGTAATTCAGTAAAGAAGACAGAAACTGTCTGTGTTTTCAGAGAGTATACACTCTAGCAGTCCACGAAGCTAAAATAACTATCTTTAAGTGGAACATGTTTCATCTATGAGATCATTCATTCTTTTATCAAGTGATTATTGAGCATCTCTCTATGCCATCTGCCCTATTTCCTAAGTTAGTAGATTATAGTGGTCAATAAGGAAATGAATTAAATTTTTGAAACCGTTCTAGACAAACCCCAGTTGTTCACCTGCATGCAATGGAATACAGAATATACAGGACCTCAGCCATCCAGAAGTAGGGGATTGGAGCTATGGAAGCAGGACCGTCTCTTCAACAGATTTTTCTGCTAAATGGTCCTGTACTGCACTCAACTGCGCTCTCCTTTCTCCCTATCACCATTCTTCTACTTGTGATTTAAGATGAAAATGTCAACATGAGGCTTTGATCCCAACTCAGTGCCCCTGCAGCCATTTTGTTTTGTTTTGTTTTTTGTTGTCTCTAGCCATTTTGGTGTGGGGAGTGAACTCTCTGATGCGAATGCCTGATTCTTTTTCTCCCATAAATGTTGTTTAAATACCACACCAAAGGCCGGGTGTGGTGGCTCTCGCCTGTAATCCCAGCACTTTGGGAGGCCAAGTTAGGCAGATCTCCTGAGGTCAAGAGTTCAAGGCCAGCCTGGCCAACATGGTGAAAACACGTCTCTACAAAAATCCAAAAATTTTAGCCAGGCATGGTGGTGTGCACCTGTAATCCCAGCTACTCAGGAGGTCGAGGCAGGGGAATTGCTTGAACCCAGGAGGTGGAGGTTGCAGTGAGCTGAGATCTCGACATTGCACTAGAGCCTGGGTGACAGAGCAAGACTCTATCCCCCACAACCCCAAAAAAACAAACAAACAAACATAAAACCACACCAAAAATTTAAATGAGAAAGAGAGTCTCTCAATGTCTAGATAATAATCTTATCTCCTGGATTGTCACTTATGAACATGTGAGGTGACAAAACTATTTAATGGATAAGCATTTAGCAAATGAAAAGAAAATGTCTGTGATTATTATGTAATCCTAGATGACTCATTATACTTAAGTAAAGGGGAACATGAATCTCAAAGAATAATGAGAATTGTTGAGAGTGTCAACAAATTAAGAACTAGATGTTCTTAAAATGAACCTGGTCCTTATTGTTTTAAAAAGATCAGTGAGGAATCATGCAAATGGAGAATGCTATATTGCTAGTATTTAAAAATGATGTAAAGAACTCAATGACAGCTCTAACTACTTAAAAGCTTTCCATTACAACTTGAAGCATTTGTCCATATCATTTCAAAGCTATGAAAGTTTAGACTTTAGTTACCTGACAAATAACTTAGATTCTCAGCATATAACATCCATTTGACTATACATATTCTGTAAAATTCACATTGAAGAAAACAAGCAAAAGCAGAATTCTGATATTCACTCATTTTTGTTTTGGGTAGATTCTACCTTTGGAAAAATAAGATAATATTTTCAAGAAATGTTGAAATGATATCACATTAGTGATACTACATGTTAAATTTTGACACAGGAATACTGTATTATTTTTCTAACTCTGGGCTTACAAGTTTTTATACTAATGATAAGATTATTCTTATTATTGAATTCAATTCTTTGTTTCAATTTGACGGCAAATTGGTGCAGCAGATCCAATGAAACAAAATGATATAGGTTCTCCCCCACACTCTTTCTTTCTTTTTTCTTTTCAGAACTGGCGAACAGCTGTGTCCATATACTATAATTGTTCTCTAATTGTTCATCTTTGTTTCAAAAAAAAAATAGAAGATTAAATAAGCACAACCTTTTGGTGTATAGTTTTTAATTTATAAGAATTGGGACTCATTGTTAGGTCCAAGATGAAAGGGTACCACAGTTGGCACTTTAAGCTGACACAGATCTGGGGAGCCAGTGACATTGCATCTCTGTTAATGATTTCACCTCTTGCACTGTGTTCCCACCAAAGGAAACATATCTTTCAGCTTGAAGTATGTGAAGGAGGGAGGAAAGGAACAATTCAACCTAAGCCCTAAAGAAAAGCTCTGTAGGTTGTGCTGAGCACTGAGCAGAGAAATGGCCCCATTAGCTTCTGCATGGGCTGCTCACTAGACTAGTTTGAAGTGGAGTTTCACTGATGCCTTGCCTCTAGGCATCCTTTCCTTCACCTCAGGATGAACTGCTACTATGATTTTTAAAGACTTTTTAAAGAGAAATTACAAAAAGTGCCATTTGTTTCTTTTTGTAATTGTTCAAAGAGAATTGTTCAAGAGAAACAAATGGAAGACACTAAGGACTTAAATTAGCTGTGCTGAACAGACCTTAGTGATGTTCAGGAAAATAGACAAGAAAAGAGATTAAATATCTGCTTTATTTAAATTCAGCAGGAAGAAAGAGCCCTACATTTACAAAATGTTTCCCTGGAAACACTATTCTCAAGAAAAAAAACAAATTCTTCCTTGGGTCATTAATTTTTAAATGGTAAAATGAGTTAATAGAAAATTATAATAAATAAACACATATATACATGTTAACACATGTTATCTATATGTATATACACATGTTATTCATATACACATGCACACACTCTCATACATCTCTGAATTCATCACAATTTACTTCCTGTCTCATTATGGTGCCACACAAATTATACCGTAGGCAGCAGCACCATAGATCGTTATTAAGTCATCCAACACATTCCTTTGCTGAAGAGAAGTTGTTCTCTATAATGTATTTTTCAATCCTTTCCTCATTTCATGTTTAAATTACTCAGCCACAGGGGATTTGAAGATATCCCTTGGAAAAGTGTTCCACAGGCTGACATGATGGGGTTTACACAGGTGCTTTAAGATATTTAAACTACATTTTCTTTTACTCAATTTCATGTTACTGTTTCTAGTTAGGCCTTATTTCTACTATCTTAAAGTCATTTTTACCATGATCATTACTTTCGCGTCTATCAAGACAGGCCAAGAGCAATCTACATGATCATTAGTTTGCTTGTTATACCTACCAAGTTCTTTGCATTGTTTCATTTTAAAACATCCTCTTAGCCTCTTAGTCATGCTTTGTGATTTGGGTAAACTATTCACTGTTCTACAATTATTAGTCAAATATTTTATTCTCATAGCACTTTAAAAGCAAGACTTGTTTTAGAAATCTTTCAAGTCTTGACATTCAGAAATTCACATTTAAGTGATTGTGGGTTCAGAGGAGGTAGAAGTTAAGTCACAGACCCTTGTTCTTTCTGTATCAAGTGTATAAACTAGGTACATAGTGAGTTATTGAATTAAAACATTGTTCTCATATATTAAAGTTCTATTGCAAATATAGCATTTGCAGTCAGAATTTTAAAGATTAAACCTGTTCAGTCCTGAAAAACTGTCTCTTCTTTGATACTCCATTTAGATTGTCTCCCATATCAGGTATAATTTCCTTGCTCGCTGTGTTAGATATTACCTTAATAATTTCTGTTTATGTTCACTATTTCAGCATTTTTCCCCTACATCAATGCTCATTGGAAGGTTTTTAATATAGTCTTGAACAGTACAACCAAAAATGTGAACTAAGGATAAAACTGTGGGAAATACCAAGATTTAAAAAAGAACCTCCTGGGAAACAGAAAAAGGAGGAGCTAGTATAGCATCATATGGATTAGCTCCCTTTTTTTTTCTTTTCTCAATGCTGAAGTGCAGAACTATGTTGAGCTTAGATATTTAGTTGAACTAAACATTATATTTAACAAGACTTTGATATGGTACCATGCCAGACCTTGAACAAAAAAAAAAAAAAAAAACAAGTTTAATGGATAATACCTGCTTAATTATCTATTGCTACATAAAAAAATCACCCCAACACTTAGTGACTCAAAGCATCTACTATTTCACAACTGTGAAACTTCTGTGGTTTAGAAATCTTGGCATGGTGTAGCTGTTTTCTCCCACTCAGGGATTCTCACGGGGCCACAATAAGATGTTGGCCAAGTTCGTAGTTATCTTCAGGTTCAACCAGGGCAGGATATACTCCCAATCTCACTAAGTTTTTCTGGGTAGGATTTAGTTCCTTGTCAGCTACTGGACTGGAAGTCTGTCTCCCTAAGATCCTTGGCCAGAGACCACACTTTCAGTTCATTGCTATGGGAGCCTCTTCAAAAAGGCAGCTCACAGTATGGCAGCTGGTTTCATCGAAGTGAGTCAGACAAGGACAGAGAGGACCATAAAGATGTCACAGGTTTTGTTTGATTTTTGTTTTGTTTTGTTTGAGATGGAGTTTCACTCTGTTGCCAGGCTGGAGTGTAGTGGCACGATCTCGGCTCACTGCGACTTCTGCCTCCCGGGTTCAAGCGATTCTCCTACCTCTGCCTTCCAAATAGCTGGGACTACAGGCACGTGCCACCACGCCCGGCTAATTTTTTGTATTTTTAGTAGAGACGGGGTTTCACCATGTTAGCCAGGATGGTCTTGATCTCCTGACCTTGTGATCCGCCCGCCTCAACCTCCCATAGTGCTGGGACCACAGGTGTGAGCCACCGCCCCCAGCCGTCACAGGTTTCTATAACCTAATTGTAGAAATATCATTCCATCATTTTGCCATACCCTATTTGGTAGAAGCAAGTCCCTAGGTCCAGGCCAGATACAAAAGAGACAATTACACAAAGGCTTGAATACCAGCAAGCAGGGCTTTTTGGGTGCCATTTTAGATGGCTATCTACCATCTTTAGTTGTACCTAGGATTGAGGAAATGGTATCCAAAAAACTGGGATAAAACCTAAATTAACATTTATAGCAATTAATAAATTCAGCCAGTCATCTTCTCATTAGTATGTAGTACTTTCTGGATATTGAGTGTTGCTATTGCAGTGAATGCTGAAATTATTACTCCTGCCCCATGTTGAGGCCTGAAGCCCTCATTCCTCTAGATGCTAGGAGTGTTGGTAGATAACACCTCTCAACTGTGATTTTCCACTTGGAAATTGGCTTCAGCTCCATTGCCAAAGGTCACTCCCTTCCTGGGCAATAGCCTACCTCTAATGACTGATGAATGTTGAGTTTTAAAAGCCCAGCTCCTTTGCCCCAGGGTTGGACAGCTCTGAGTGCTCATCCTAGCTCCAGGGCTTTTGGCAAGGTAGCTGAGATCTTTGTTGTGACTGCATAGCAGTCTAAGGCTTCTTTTCACCCAACCCAGCTCATTTCAGTGGGCTACAAGTGTGATCCTGAGAGCACTCCTCAGTAAACGTCCTGCATTCAAATCTAGGGCTTATGGTCTATTCTTAGGAAACCCAACTAGCAATCGCTTCACTTTTGACTCTTTCTTTCTGTGTAAATGTAAAATAGCTAACATATAAATGATGAAATATTAACATAGAATATATAGACGTTTCATATACTTATGATACAGGATATTTCCCCGGACCCTTCACGGGACTCGCGACAGAGGTGCCTTGTTTACTCAGCCAGCTGCTCTCAATTCCTCACAGGAGGGAGCATGCAAATGAATGAGTACAGGAAATGGAGTGAGCGAATGCAGGAACCAGCCAACTGCTTTTGTAGGCTAGCAGGAGCAAACTTCATGCGGTACCCCCAGCAGCATCCCTGTGGGGTTATGTGCGACCCCCAAAACCCCAGGGGCAGGTTACCGTCTCTTTTACCTCTGACATTGCAGCTCAGTGGGCCCTTTGCCTTGACAGCCTTTTGTATCTACACTCGTGTCTCCTGAGCTCTTGTCTGGCATCCAGGGAAAATGAGGTTGCACAAGCGAATTGAAAGATGGTAAACGCAGGGTATTTTATTGCTGATGAAAGTGGCTCTCAGCGGGAAGGGGAGCTGAAATGGGGAGGGACAGATAGGTAATCTTCCCCTGGAGTCTGGCTCTCTCCTGGGGGACTCTTCTCTGAAGGTATGCCATCAAGCTGTCCCTCTGAAGTCAAGCCACTTCTCTCTGATATCTAGCCACAGTCCATTCTACCACCTGTGTCTGGGATTTTTACAGGCACAGGATAGGGAGGGGCGGGGTCATGAGTTTAGAAAAAGGCAACATTTGAGTGGGTAAACGGGGATGTAAGTTGTCACTTTGGGCCGCAGTTTCAGGCTTTTTGGCTTGAGGGTGGGGTTTTCACTGGGAACCTGCCCTTTTATGCCTAGAATTTCTCTGCGTCCTGTCCCCATCACTTATAGACCTCTTAAAAGGGATACTGAAATGCATCTTTAAGTATGTCAAGCCAAAACATCAGAAATTCACAATATGGTCCCCTGTATAATTTAAGTAAAATTGAAGGGCATGACCCTGATTTTCACTAGTGGTTGATTAACAAACAGCCATTCTCATTTACTACAAAGCTGTTACTGAAGATCTAGTTTATCACATTCTTTCTGTCACCTATAAATAAAACTTTGGTTGCAAAGTCTTCATCTAGTATCAGAGGTGAGTTCCTTTTATCTTCTGATTTGCTTCTCACTTCTAACTTAGACCATGGGGCAAAGTTTTAGCTTTCTATGGGAAATCATTAATACAAATAAAAACAAAATAGAACACATCAAAAACCTTAATACTAAATATGGAGATTGGAAGCAAAGTCAAGGTTATCACATTATATATAAATCATGATAATCCTCAAAATATGATTACTATACATCAAAACTTCCCTACTTTACTAAGGTGGCATTCACACAAATCTTAACAGTGCAATGTGGCAATTAATAGGCTGAGAGATGTAAGAGTGGAGGAAGTATCCTCAAGCAAAATTGAAATGAAATATAGAAGAGTGAGATGTAAAACTTGATATCTGTTAGGATTTACAATTTTGTTATGATTTTCTCATGGACTTCTTGATCCCCGATCCTTTCCTCACTCTTCAGCTGCTTTGGTCGGATCTCTGGTGGGAGGACTGGCCTCTGATGGTTATGTTTTTCCATCTCCTGGGTCATGCTTTTCCGTCTCCTGTGTCAGCTGACTTCCGGAGGAGCCGGGAAGAAGGGAGAAACAGGATATAACTTCCCTTCTCTCTCTGCATTGGGCAGTGACTTCAGAGCAGCTATCTCCTTTGTGGCTCCCTACCTTTGCCACTGTCTGACTCAGGTAGCACTGCTAACCTCCCATGTCCTTCCAGCCTAGCAGGGGTAGCTGCTTTGTGCTGTTATTAATCTTTAGTTTGCTTCATTGCCCTTTTTGGCTTCTTAGCTCTTTTCTGTTACCTGTGCAATGAAGTCCTACTTAATTCTCACCTGGTTAAAACGCATAGAATGGTTTATGGTTGTACCTGGGTGGCTACAGGTACCGTAAGTATACTTCCATTCATTGCAACAACAGCAAAAAAGTCCCTGACAAATAATGGTCTTTATACCATTAAATTAAAAAAAAAAATCCTCAAGATTATTCGCATTTTATAGATAGGAAAGATTAGCTCAGCAAGAATAGGTAACTTGCTTGTAATCACGTATCTCATGCATAGCTTACATTAGGAGGGTGACTGCTAAACCCAGACAACCCGGATTTGAATCCTGACTCCAGCTTTTATTATACAGGCAAGTTACTTAAACAACCTGTGCTCAATTTTCTCATTTATAGGTTAGGGACTTTATATCTACCTCAGAAGGGTATTGTGAAGATTAAATAAATTATTGATTTACTGCTTAGAAAAGTTACTGACACATAGTATATGCTCAATAAAAGCTAGCTATTATTAGCCATGTGGCTTCAGTAGTGTTATTAATTACTTTGAAATGAGAAAACACGCTACAAAAATTGCTTCTTGGATTTGTAGCCCAGTGTGTGTTTTGAGAAGAAACAGTTGCAAATGTATGACATAATATTGAACAATAACTTCTAATTTGGTTAAAAATCTGGTTTCTACTGCTGATTATCAGAACAGTTTAGAAAAGCAAGATTGATTTCTTTTGTGGAATAGTCAAGAGAACACCACAATGGCCTAAGGCACCAAATGATTGCAAACCATCTTCCTGCAATTAAAATGGCCAGAGCTGACCTGCTCTTTATTAAACATTAATCTTTGGCTTCTTCTGAATGCATCAGTGAGTTCAAGGTCTGGATATGTATGACTCATGCAAGCTCTGTGCCATTAAGCTGTTTTATAGGAGAAAAGTATTCTTCATTGCACTGAGCCTGACACTTGAGTTTCTTTGTATAATTTGAAATTTGGCAGCTCAGTGTATACTTAAATGAAAAATGCTTTTTTCTAACCATCATCTAGATGATAGAAACATTGGTTTCACCATTTAAATAATTGTACAGAAAACAATGTGGTCTGAAAATATCATGAATATATATATATTTTACTTATAATACCATTAGCACATTTCATTTTTTTAGTATTTCTTTGCTCAATATTTATATTTGGAAACATCTCAACAGCTGCAAGTTATATGGATAAGTTAAATTATGCTATTTATTTGCAATCACGTGGAAGAAAAAGCAAATGCATATATTGTAAACAAAAATTTTCTATGAATTACATTTGTGTATTTTATAATGATTCTGAGGCATGAGTGTATCTCTATGCAATATAAAATAAAGTGGAGTGAAATAACTAATGAATAGCCAGGCAGATCATTATACCAAATATTTTGGCTTTTCTTATATATATACTCATATGTTTTTACCATCTGCAAAAATATGATTGTTTTCTATAGAAAATTTCCTCAATTTCTTCTATTCTGTAATCATGTTCTGTAACCTATTCTGTAACCTTTTTCATGACTACAAAAGCTAACATGTCAATTCTGGTTATTTTGACTATTAAATGAATAGGAGATTTTGAAACTAATTTTGTAGCTGGGTATCACATATCCCCAATGAATATTAATTTGAAACTTATGGCTAGAAGTATGGCTTTTGTTTTTAGCATTACAATGCTTTATTTTCTTAGCTGAATCTTTAATATAAATGAATACATGATTTTTTCTGTACTTTTGCGAATGATTACACACAGTCAAAAATCCATGTATAATTTTGATATCCCTAAAACTTAACTACTGCTAACAAGAAGCCTGACCAATAACATAGTCAATTAACACGTATTTTGTGTATCTATTATATATTGTATTGTTACAATATATGCATTATATACTGTAAACTAAAGAAAATGTTGTTACAAAATCATAAGGAAGCGAAAATGTATTTACTATTCATCAAGTTAAAATGGATCACCATAAATGTCTTCATTCTCGTCATCTTCATGTTAAGTAGGCTGAGGAGGAGGAGGAGAAAGAGGAGAGTTTGTCTCCCTGTTTCAGGAGTGGCAAGAGTTAGATGAGATGGAGGAGGTAGAAGGGGAGGCAGAGGAGCCAGGCACAGTTGGGGTAACTTTATGGAAATTCATCATAATATATGACTTTTTACTTTTTCATTTCTCTGAAAATATTTCTATACAGTACTAATCTTCCTTCCACCATATGCTTTAGTTTTGTATCATACAAGGATCCATGTTGTAAAAGAAGTCAAAAACATCTTGAAAAATGAGAACCCCTCTGCTAGATTAACTTATAGCAACTTGCTTCTGGCACTGCTTCTTCCATGTCTTTGTTTTTATCTTTTGGTACTACTTTGGAAGCACTCATCTCCAACAGGTCTTCTCCAACAGGTCTTCTTCCATTAATTCCTCTGGTGTGGTGTCTATTAGCTCTTGAATTTCTCCAAGATTCATATGTTGCAACCGTTCACCCCTCACCTTTTTTATGGTTAAATTTATTTTTATTTTATTTTTATTATACTTTAAGTTCTGGGATACATGTGCAGAACGTGCAGGTTTGTTACATAGGTATACATGTGCCATGGTGGTTTGCTGCACCCATCAACCTGTCATATACATTAGATATTTCTCCTAATGTTATCCCTCCCCTAGCCCCCCACCCCCCGACAGGCCCTGGTGTGTGATGTTCCCCTCCCTGTGTCCATGTGTTCTCATTGTTCAACTCCCACTTATGAGTAAGAACATGCAGTGTTTGGTTTTCTGTTCCCGTGTTAGTTTGCTAAGAATGATGGTTTCCAGCTTCATCCATGTCCCTGCAAAGGACATGAACTCATCCTTTTATGGCTGCATAGTATTCCATGGTGTATATATGACACATTTTCTTTATCCAGCCTATCATTGATGGGCATTTGGGTTGGTTCCATGTCTTTGCTGTTGCAAATAGTGCTGCAATAAACATACATGTGCATGTGTCTTTATAGTAGAATGATTTATAATCCTTTGGGTATATACCTAGTAATGGCATTGCTGGGTCAAATGGTATTTCTGGCTCTAGATCCTTGAGGAATCACCACAATGTCTTCCACAATAGTTGAACTAATTTACACTTCCACCAACAGTGTAAAAGCGTTATTTCTCCACATCCTCTCCAACATCTGTTGTTTCCTGACTTTTTAATGATTGCCATTCTACCTGGCATGAGATAGTATCTCACTGTGGTTTTGATTTGCATTTCTCTAATAACCAGTGATAATGAGTTTTTCATATGTTTGTTGGCCGCATAAATGTCTTCTTCCGAGAAGTGTCTGTTCATATCCTTTGCCCACTTTTTGATGGTATTGTGTTTTTTTTCCTTGTAAATTTGTTTAAGTTCCTTGTAGATTCTGGATATTAGCCTTTTGTCAGATGGATAGATTGCAAAAATTTTCTCCCATTCTGTAGGTTGCCTTTTCACTCTGATGATAGTTTCTTTTGCTGTGCAGAAGCTCTTTAGTTTAATTAAATCTCATTTGTCAATTTTGCATCAAAAGCAATGGCAACAAAAACCTTTTTTTTTTTTTTTCATAGCCACAGTCTGTTCCATAATTTCCTGGATTGGCTCTGTCATAAATTCTGTGAAATCAGGCACAACATAGTCTTCTCCAGCAGGAATTGATTGTTTTGGATTTGATGGCTTTCATGGCCTTTTCTATGATGATGATAACATACCCAATGGTGTAATTCTTCTAGGCTTTTATGATGTTCTCTCTATTGGGGTTCTCTTCCATAGCATTGACAATCGTTTTTATAGAGTACCACGTGTGAAGAGTTAAAAGATCCTTATGACTTGTGATCTAGATGCAGAATTAGAGACATTGTGTTTGGGGGCACGTAGACCACTTTGACATCTTCAGTGTTGAACTGATGGGGTTCTGGGTGGCCTGGGGCATTGCACATTATCAAAAGAATTTTAAAAGGTAGTCCCTCACTGTAAAGGTGCTTCCTGACTTCAGGGACAAAGCACCAATGAAACTAATTCAGAAAAAGTGTTCTTATGCTGGCATTATTGTTTATAAACCAAAGACTGGCAGCTTGTGTTTATCTTTTTCCTTCAAGGCTCAGAGATTAACAGCTTTATAGATAAAGGCAGTACTGATCATATTCCTGACTGCATTTGCACAAAACAGTAGAGATAGCCCATCCCTTCCTGGCTAAATCCTAGTGCTAACTTACCTTCCTTACTAATAAATGTCCTTTATGGCATTTAATCCCCTAG
The DNA here is from genome assembly GCF_000001405.40 of Homo sapiens. NCBI lineage: Eukaryota > Metazoa > Chordata > Mammalia > Primates > Hominidae > Homo > Homo sapiens. Next base: position 95,735,758 of record NC_000004.12, read on the forward strand.
AACAGGGCATTTTTGTCTGCATTAAAAATCTATTCAGGCAGGAGTCTTTTCTCCTCAGTAATTTTCTTAATGGCATCTTGGAACTCATCTACTGCCTCTTGGTCAACAAAAGCTACTTACCCTGTTACCTTGACATTTTTAAAACCAAACCTCTTCCTAAAATTATCAAGCCATCCTTTGCTGGCATTAAATTCTCCAGCTTTAGATCCTTCACCTTCCTTTTGCTTTACATTGTCATATATGTCACATAATGACTTCACTTTTTCTAGAATCATATTAGAGTCTATCTATAAAAAAGCCTTTCTTGTAGTAATCCTGCACCCACAGTAAATACTGCAGTTTCAATATAAGATAAAAAGATATTTTGTAAAAAGGGCAGAGTTTTCACATCTCCTCATGCAGATGCAGCAAGGGCTTCTTGGATTTCCTTTACTTTTTTACCAAGAGCTCTAACGCTGGATTCATTTACCTTGAAATGGTGGGCAACTGCAGTTGCAGACCTCAGTCTATGATACATGTCAAGCAATTCAACTCTTTCTTGTAATTTAATGACTTTTCTATGCTTCTTGGGAGCACTTTCAGCATCACTAGTGGCACTACATATAGGTCCCAGGATGTTTGTCAAGGTTTACAATATTGCACTAAACAAAATAAAAAATACACAAGAATCCTAAAGGATTACTTTTTACTGTAATACATAATTTACTGAGGAGACAAACTGCTCACGCAGAGAAAACTAGTGTCACAGGGTGTTTTAGGCAGACACTTGAAAAACTTGAGCTCACCCTAATAGCAACAGGAGGTGGTTATGAAATTATTGCAGTAGTATGGTATGTATTATAGTATACATTTAATGCAGGTATAATTTAATAGTACATCTTCACATTTGTTTACATCTCTCTCAGCTGCAAATGGTGCCTTGTATGGTCTGTAATATTTGTGTGTGTAAATTTTGATAAATATTAACTTTTTATAATAGATTTGTGCATATTTTATGGTAGTAAAATTTTAAAATAGACTATGTCTATATATATTTAATGAACTCATGACATATCTAACTTTTTCCTAATTTTTTGGTATTTCTAGGTCACATGATTCATCTGTGAGTTTTTCCAAATTGTTAAAAATCTCCAAAAACTTTTCTAATATAGTTATTGAAAAAATTTTCATGTAAGTGGACCCACACAGTTTAAACCCATACTTTTCAAAGGTCAATGGTACACTACTCATGGACCAGAATTATTGTCCTTTATGCATGTTTTTGCTATGGGAGAACAGAGCTATTTACTGCTGTCTCTTTAATCATGGAAGTTAATTAATGATAATGTCTTATAAAAATTAATATCCAGTCTTTATGAGGCAGATAGTCAAATAAATGTCCAAATTCAATGACAATTTAAAATTAAACCTAGATTTCAAAGTCAGTGTTTTTGAAAGGAAATGTAGCACACATCTACCCTTTACATATTCCAGGTTGGTAAACTGTATGTATTAGCAACCATGATTTATAATGCAATAGAAAGACAGGCTGAGTTTACACTAAGTGTTTCTAAGAATGAAATTTATGAGGGCAACAAGGCTGAAAAAAACACTTTCAAAAATATCATTTTCTTTAAAATTTAAAACTAATAAAGATGTGAAATACTTTATAATTCAAAATAAAATAAAAACAAATCTTTCTGCAAATATTTTCATTCATCATGAGCATGCGTTAGCATAACTAACAACAGATTAACAAAAATGAGTAGAACATTATGACACACCTAAATACATTATGTGAGATAAACTAAAGGACATTTCCTACTACTTTTCTTATATCAGTTATGCCATTTGCTGAGGCAACTTGTCAATGATGACATCAATTTCATCCTAAAAGAAATTTCAATTGAATCTAACCTCTTTATTGAACAAATAAACAAACTGGAGTCTTGAGGGATTTAATGGCTCTCCCAAAAACATATCATAAACAGAACAAAAGTTTGATTTTTGTCAAATTATCATAAGACAAACTAAAGTGACAAATCCCCTATCATAAGTGAATTAATTTTTAAGATTATATGCAGACTCTCAAAGTGTCTTTTAGATCCATATAAAAAGTGAACATGTGTTCACTTTCAGGCTTTGCCCATCAGGCTATTAGATCTTAGGCAAGACCCCTAAGTTCCTGAGACTTCATATACTAAATACAGTGTATTTATAATGAGGATCACTAGAGATGTGAGAATTAGGGATTGTAAAGCAAAGTGCCAGCAGTATCTGCTACATAGCTATAGCTCAATAACTGGTCATCTTGGAAAATCTACTACTTAAAGTAAGGATAAAGAAGATCATAAAATGTAAGTTCTTGTTTTATTTTATATTTTCCCTGTCTTTTCTGTACTATCATCTAGTCATATGTTGTATTCCTTTCGTCTTATACATCTACTTCACAGGTCATGTTGTTATTTACATTCTTAATTCCATACTTCAGTGGCCTCTTCTCACTGCATTTTTATTGGATATTATTCATAAAATATGCAGAGTGTATAAATAATATGGAGCTGTAATAATATGGAGCTGTATGTATTCTGAGTTTAAAGGTTTTTGTTAACAGCTGCTAAGACCCACATCTAATTTAGGATGATTCATACTGTTAGAACCATACACGCTATAAGAAGACCAAAATTCTCTTGGTTTTAAAATGATATTATTATGTATTATTATTAATAGTATTAGTAACTCTTGGGCATGAAAGAATAAATTTGAGTGCTAACACATATTCTTGAGTTCTGTATAAATTTAATTTTATTAGTTCTGAAGATAAGATATTAAAAAAGATGCCATAAGGGAGATATGAGGATAATCACATCCTGACAGCTTCTTGCTGGGCTTGTTTCCTGCTCAAAAAGACCTAATCAAAGTTTATTAAGTAAAATTCACAGCAGTAGTGCAAGCATCCAATAACATGTATGCACCATGAAAATATATAACATATTATAGAACACTGCCCTTTCAATCAGAATTTGGAGAACAGTGCCTGGTACTTTGTCATCTACTTCCTCTGTGAAGACATGAGAAAGCTGCTACAGCTTCTTCTCAAACTTCTGTGACTCATATCTTGGGGACTAATGGCTGGTGGACATCCTTGAGGGCTATGGCAGCAACTGTGGGTGGTCCTGGTGGCTATACCAGTTATCAGGGTCACATACAATTTTAGCAAAAGCTTACTAATAATTATAACACTAGTAGTTTCTGTTTATTAAATTATTATGAATTAAGAATTGTGCCAAGCCATATAAATCATCTGATATAACCTCAGTACAAATATACAAAATAGGTCATATTATTATTACCATTTTATAAAAGTGAAAGGTGACTATGATTAACTTCATTAAAAGCTGAGAGCTAGTAGTGGCAAAAACAGGATAAGGGCTATTACAAAATCCTAAACCCTTGGCCACTGCACTGTACTGCTTCTGCCCAACTGGTCTTAACTTTATTATATTTTAATAAATATTTTTCTAAGCCAGGTGATAACTGGCTCAGGAACTATACATTGCACTTGATGTTCAGTCTAGGATATCCCTCGTGAAATTGATTCCTGTCTGTTCTGCAGCCTTAGCTACTGAAAAGTTCAATTATTTAGAATACAATAGACTTATTTATTAATTTCTGTGTCTAAGGCTTCTGTCTAAAATCATTTTCAAACTTGGAAAAGTACTTTAAATTTTCCAAGATTTGGGGATATGATGAAATTTCTTTTTTGAGTAAAGACTACACTATAATTTTCTCCACATGCATGAAAGGCATAAAAGATGCAGACAGAACAGAAATCAAAGGAGCATCACAGTAGAAAAACTAGTGGCAAGCAAAAATTCAGCTTCAGTAAATGAATAGTTGATTCATCAGACTTTTTCTTTGAAGTTTGATCTAAAGGAATAACAACAAAATGAGGCGCAGAGGGGGAAAAAAACTTGCTTCAACAAGAGCAAAACTAAATCTAAATTAGGTAATTTTCTCTTTTTTAAATAAACCAAAAAAGCCAACTTCAGGATGGAGGTATAGTTATGCAAGAGGACCATTTCTAGGAGCTTAAATTAGAATAGAGGAAATCCCCATTTTTAAAATAGGCTGATATCAAAGGAAATGTCCCTTGATTCAGTCATGACACCAATGTGATCAGATGCTCTGATCACTAATGCACTCCAGGGCAAAGTCATTTGACATTTCCTTCAGAAATACAGAGAGATGTTTGGAATTATTTAGAAGAAACAGCCTCATTTGAAAATTGTAGGTCTGTCCTGGCTGTGAGAAGAATGTTAATCATGCCCATTTGGGGAAATTTACTAACATTTTGCATGTAAATGGAATTTAGTTAACTGAATTTTCTGAATACTCGGGACAGGCAAAAACTTCTAAACCACCTGGGGCTTGGTTAGCTTGAACCTGAAAGCAAAGGAAAGCTGGTTGTATGTATTCCACTTATTTATCAAATATTTACTGAGCTCCACAACTGACAATATGAGAGTGGCTTAAGGGAGTGACCTCAGAGTTTTAAAGGATAAATAAGAGTTTTCCAGAAATATGAAGGTGAATCAGAATCCTAGGACGAAGTAAGAGCAGGTAAAGTGAGTGGAGAAATAATCAAGGGTCTAACTATTACCTGAGGTTCTTGAATCACCTACACTAAAATTACCTGAAGTGTTTGTTAAAAATGTGGTTACTATGCCTTTTCTCATGCCAAGTGAATCACAATCAATGATAGTAGGAAGCATTTATAATAGACATACCTCAGCTGCTTTTATAAACATTAAGATTTGAGAATTGTTGCTATTTGTAATAGAAGCATATGCATTCAAACAACAGAATTTCACAATTTGTTTTACATTTACAAAGGCTATGCTAGTGGCCTATGGATAGTTAAGAAAAAATTGCACGTGACAAGAGACCCATTTCGAAGACAGATGCATGGATCCTTACTTTCTTTCTCTTTTCAACCTACTTCATTCTGGCTTTTGTTCCTAAGCTCTCGCTTGCCCAGGTTACCAAGGATCTTTAGGCTGCCAAATCATTCATTCTCAACCTGAATCTCAGCAGGACTTGAAAATATTGCCCTACTCTAAAACACTTAATTTTCTTGGCTCTCAAAAAAAGACTTAGTATTTATTTTTTTCAGCCTCCTCTTCTTTTACTTTACTGAATCCTTCAGAACCCTGAACTCTTTTCCTCCTATACTTAATTTTTGAAACAGTAGCTTTAAATGATCAGCCATATGATCAGACCTCCACATATCTATCTCTAAGCCCTCTCTTTCTCTTTTGCTTTACACTTGTACATTCAAAAATCTACTCGAAATCTCTACTTTAAAGTCTACTGGAGTCAGCCACAATGGCTCACACCTGTAATCCCAGCACTTTGGGAGGCTGAGGCAGGTGATCACCTGAGGCGAGGAGTTCGAAACCAGCCTGGCCAACATGGCAAAACCTTGTCTCTACAAAAAATATTAAAAAAAAAAAATAGCCAGGCATGGTGGCATTTGCCTGTAATTCTAGTTACTTGGGAAGCTGAGGCATGAGAATCCCTTGAGCCCACGAGGTGGAGGTTGCGGTGAGTGGATATCATGCACTACAGCCTGGGTGACAGAGTGAGAACCTGTCTCAATAAATAAATACATACATAAATACAAATACATAAATAAAGTCTATTGGGAATCTCAAATGTTTTATGTTTAAAAGGGAATCCCCTAACCCAAACCTGTTCCTTCCCTAGTCCCACCCATCTTGGATAATGGCACTCACACTTCATCAGGTCAATGCAAAGTAATCATCCTTATTTCCTTTAACTCTTTTTTTTTTTTTTTTTTTCATATTTCATGGCTAATCCATCAGTAAGCCCGCTGGCACTTTACTTTCCTATATCCCAAACCTGACAACTTCTCACCAACTCCATGGCTACCATTCTAATTCAAGCTGCCAGCAATCCCTCTTGCCTAGATAATGGCAGTAGTCACCTAACTGATTTCCCTGCCTGTATACTTGCCCCATATGGCAAAGTTTCCATAGTTACTCTGAGTGATCTTTAAGGACATAGATCAGAAAACGCCGCTATCCTGCTCAAAATCTTTCAAAGTCTATCATCCTTAAAATAAAATCCACAGTACTTACCAAGGCCCACATCTCTCTTAGCAACATTTCCCTATACTTAGACTTTGCTTATACTGTTTCAACTACAGTGGTCTTGCTGTTAAACACACTAAGTTTGCTTTCCTTTGGAGACTGGTATTTATGGTTACCTCTGGCTGGAATGCTCTTTTCCTAGATATCAGCATATTTTTCTGCCTCATTTTATTATGATCTCTGCTCAAATAAAACTTCCTTTAAATGTTCTTTTATGACCACCTTACTTATACAATTCTCTCTCCTCCATATTACTCTATATTCCCTTACCATGCTTTATTTTATTCATAGCATTATCTCCACTTAACACTGTATCTTGTAGATATTTACTTGCTTATATATTGTCTCTCTTTCATATAGAAATATACACTCCATAGGAGTAAGTACATTATCTCACACACTTTTTTTAATCCCCTGTGCCTGGAATAGCCTAGTACATAAAAGGCAGACAAAGAATATTTGTTAACTGAATGAATCTTTTGTATGTAAAATGTTGAAGCCTTTAACAATGGCATTGTGAGTAAGGGTGATGAGAAAAGAGAAAAGGACGATTCTGCTCTGTAAAATAAAGTCATTTTACTATATTTTACTATTATTATAGTATAATATGATAAGATGAAAAACTAGAAAATGTAAAAAATGTCAGCACATCTATTATAGAAATGACTATACAAAGGATAAAATGGTTAATCTACCCAAAAGAATGGGATATCAGCAGATTTGTGTTTGAAGCATTCTTGAAAGTGGAGTTTGTACAGAGGAACAGGAGGTGAAGGTGAAAACAAAAGGGGAAGAGATGAGTTCAACAGACATTCTATGTATAGAGACTGACATTAAAAATCTTGGAGATTTGGCAAAGCTGAAAATAATTAATCGTACTAAACCATGAGATAGAAAATTAGGGAAAATTGTAAAGTAAGCAATAAGTGTGGAAAATACATCATATCCCAGGCTATTTGTACCCTTGAAGACCATATATAAGTTGCTGGATTAATCTAAAATAAGGATTGAGGGGTGTTGGAGAGTTTTAATCAGAGACAGGAATCCATACTGGATGTTTGTTGCTCTTGTCACTGCAGAACTGAATAGATTTGAGAAGTACCAAAGAGTTTGGACAGGTTCCCAACTCCAATTATTGTGGCTGAAATGGAACAGATAATACATCTTCCTGCTCCTCAGCAGCCAAGGCAAGAATATATGGCTTAGATTCAGCCAACTGGCTGCTTGATTCTCAAGGGACAGAGTCTTTATGGTGATGGTAGAAGTGATATGGTTTGGCTGTGTCCCCACCCACATCACATCTTGGATTCTCATATGTTCCCATTCCCTCCCATCTCATTCAGTTACCTTTTTTTTTTTTTTTTTTCATCTTTCCCATGGGAGGGAATTGAATCATGGGGGCAGGTCTTTCCTGTGCTGTTCTCATGATAGCAAATAAGTCTCATGAGATCTGATGGTTTTAAAAAGAGGAGTGTTCCTGCACAAGCTCTCTCTCTATTCCTGCTGCCATCCATGTAAAAGGTGACTTGCTTCTCCTTGCCCTCCACCATTATTGTGAGGACCCCCCAGCCACATGGAACTGTAAGTTCATTAAACCTCTTTCTTTTGTAAATTGCTCAGTCTCAGGTATGTCTTTATCAGCAGCATGAAAATGAACTTATTCAGTAAACTGGTACCAGTAGAGTGGGGTGCTGCTGAAAAGATACCCAAAAATGTGGAAGTGACTTTGGACCAGGGTAACTAACAGGCAGAGGTTGGAACAGTTTGGAGGGCTCAGAAGAAGACAGGAAAATGTGGGAAAGTTTGGAACTTGCTAGAGACTTGTTGAACGGCTTTGACCAAAATTCTGATAATGATATGGACAATGAAATCCAGGCTGAGGTGGTCTCAAATCAGATGTGGAACTTGTTGGGAACTGAAGCAAAGGTGACTCTTGTTATGGTTTAGCAAAGAGACTGACAGCATTTTGCCCCTGCCCTAGAGATTTGTGTAACTTTGAACTTGAGACTCGCAATGATTTAGGGTATCTGGTGGAAGAAATTTCTAAGCAGCAAAGTATTCTAAAGAGGTGACCTGGGTGCTGTTAAAGGCATTCAGTTTCATAAGGGAAGCAGAGCATGAAAGTTTGGAAAATTTGCAGCCTCACAGTGTGATAGAAAAGAAAATCCCATTTTCTAAGGAGAAATTTGAGCCGGCTGCAGAAATTTGCATAAGTAATGAGGAATCAAATGTTAATCCCCAAGACAATGGGAAATATGTCTCCAGGGCATGGCAGAGGTCTTCATGGCAGCCCCTCCCATCACAGGCCCAGAAGCCTAGGATGAAAAATGATTTCATGGGCCAGGCCCAGGGTCCCAGTGCTGTGTGCAGCCTAGGGACTTGGTGCCCTGCATCCCAGCAGCTCTAGCGTGGCTGAAAAGGGCCAATGTAGAGCTTGGGCGATGGCTTCAAAGGATGCAAGCCCCAAGCCTTGGCAACCTCCATGTGTTGTTGAGCCTGCAGGTGCATAGAAGTCAAGAATTGAGGTTTGGGAACCACTGCATAAGTTTCAGATGTATGGAAACGCCTAGATGCCCAGGCAGAAGTTTGCTGCAGGGGCAGGTCCTGCTTGGAGAACCTCTGCTAGGGTAGTGTGGAAGGGAAATGTGGGGTTGGAGGCCCCAGACGGAGTCTCTACTGGGGCACCACCTAGTGGACCTGTGAGAAGAGGGCCACTGTCCTCCAGACTCCAGAATGGTAGATCCACTGACAGCTTGCACCATACGCCTGGAAAAGCCACAGGCACTCAATGCCAGCCCATGAAATCAGCTGGGAGGGAAGCTGTACCCTGCAAAACCATACAAGCGGAGCTGCCCAAGACCATGGGAACCCACCTCTTGCATCAGTGTGAACTAGATGTGAGACATGAAGTCAAAGGAGATCATTTTGGAGCTTTCGACTGCCCTGCTGGATTTTGGACTTGCATGGGGACTGTAGCCCCTTTGTTTTGACCAATTTCTCCCATTCAGAACAGCTGTATTTACCCAAGGTCTGTAACCCCATTATATCTAGAAAGTAACTGACTTGCTTTTGATTTTACCATAGGTGGAAGAGACTTGCCTGCTCTCGGATGAGATTTTGGACTGTGGATTTATGAGTTAATACTGAAATGAGTTAAGACTTTGGAGGACTCTTGGGAAGGCATGATTGGTTTTGAAATGTGAGGACATGAGATTTGGGGCCGGGGGTAGAATGATATGGTTTGGCTGTGTCACCACCCATGTCTCATCTTGAATTCTCACATATTATGGGAAGGACCCAGTGGGAGGTAACTGAATCATTGGGGCAGGTCTTTCCTGTGCTGTTCTCATGATAGTGAATTAGTCTTATGAGATCTGATGGCTTTAAAAAGGGGAGTTTCCCTTTATAAGCTCTGTTTTTGCCTGCCACCATCCATGTAAGTTGTGACTTGCTCCTCCTTGCCTTCTACCATGATTGTGAGTCCTCCCCAGGCATGTGAAACTGTAAGTCCATTAATCCTCTTTCTTTGTAAATTGCCCAGTCTTGGATATATCTTTATTAGCAGCATGAAAATGAACTAATACAAGAACTATCAAGAGTCCAAGGCTAGGGTGGCCCTGGACTGCATCTGTGCATCTGTGTATTGCAGCAACACTCTGGGGTACTGGGCACAGTTTACTGGTGTATTCAGCACAGCATTCTCAGTCCTGGGACTTTAACAGGACTTTTGAGCTTTCTATAATACATTTTGTAATAAACTGGACTTTGCAACTCTCAGAAGCCACCAAAATCACAGGTAGATACACACTGGGGGAGAATTAGGGAAAGAAATCTATGATGTCTAACAAAGCTTAAAGGATAACTTTTGTGAAACTTTAAAGTTTTGTGAAACTTGATGATAGGGAAAGATGATATTAAACAATATCCTAGTGATTTTGATAATTGAACACCCTACATTTGAGAATTGACTTTCATTATATCTGTGGTGGTAGACCCATAGTTGAAAAATGTCTGACAGATTAGTAGTGAGTGTAGACTATTCGATAAGATGCCTCTACCATAAAAATCTAATTTTCTATATTGATCATATTAGATAGAACACTGTCATATTTCCACTTTGTCTTATATATACAGATACAACTTGATTTGCTACCTCATAGAAGTAAAGGGCTCACCTCTTCAAGGTTAATTAAGTTTTTCTGTTAACCTATAGTCCAATGGTTCACAAAGAGTTCTCAGAAAAAGTTAGATGCACTCAAATATAATCCATGCTACAACTAGACCCAGTAACAATAATTTAAGTATCAAGTAATTTTCAAGGTGTCTCTCCATATAATTAGTTTCAATTGACACCATCATAGGACTGAATACTTTAATGTTGAACTCTTCTGTGGAACAATATTCCGTCTTTAATCATTACACTGCTAAAGCACAGAACTTTCATTCAAGTATTGTATATTAATAATAATTATTCCTCTTTGTGTTTATGATCGCCCTAAATAACAACTTTTATTTATTTATTTTATTATACTTTAAGTTCTAGGGTACATGTGCACAACGTTCAGGTTAATAACAACTTCTAATAGTCTGTATTTATTTGAAATTTGCTCTCATGTTTAAATATCATGGATGAGATCATTTGCCTAAAAACATTACAGTACACTGTGTATTATCCCACCCTGCCCAATATTTTAGACATCTTCAATATCTATTGCATTGGAAAACATAATTTAATAAGCATCAGTGGAACATTATTATTTGGCAAGAATAGATTATATGATGCTATTAATATCATACAAACTCTGTGAAAGCATGACATTTTGTATTATTTGATCATTTTAATGGATTGATTATAGCTAAACAACTTTGTGTAATTCTTAGCAGTTTAGGATAAACTGATTCATTTAAAGAGACTAATAACATTTAGAAGTAAAATTCTAGAGGTAAAGAAAACAGATTTCTGTTTAATTGTTAAAAGAAATGGCACACATTCTTTTCATGCAAAAGGGACTGTGCAGAAAACAGTTTTCTTCTGAATAAACTGACCGTGTTCATGATTTAACAGAATCAGTTACTTTGCAATTGATTCTGACACAGCTAGTATTTGAACTTTAGGGACTCTAATCTCAGGATTTTACCTAATGGTACATATGAATCACTGAGAGCTACTACAAAACATGCACATTGTGCTCAACAATGCTTTTCTTTGCATTAAAGAAACATTCTTTAAGGAAGGCATTATGAAAGGGTTCAACCATGGCCTTAAAAAATGACAGGATTTTTCATAAAATACAAGAACTGGGGGAAACTCAACACTTTGTAAGAAAGATCATTAACCAAATGGCTGATGTAGCACATAGCAATAGGACTGGCTAGGCACTCATGAGCTAGGGTGAAAGTTTGATAGTGGAACATGTTACACATAATTAAATATGGATCCTTCCTAATCAATAGTGAGGGCATAATTACTTTTCTCAAGGTTAGTTAGGCAGAGTTTTTGGAAGAGACAAAAGCCAGAATAAAGGGAATCAAGAAGACAAACTAAAGAGAACTGTATTTGAGAGCTGAGCGGGCTATTAGGAGTTTTGGCACACTTGAAAAACCAGACTGCAATTTTATCAGTAGTCTCATCAGGGAACTATTAGACAAGGTCAAGAAGGCCTCTGAGAATAGCTAGGTACATTTAAGCAATGCCTTCCTGCTCCACCAAGTTGCTCAATCATAGCTGCCAAATTTTCATGTCTTTGAACAAAAGCATCTTATATGAACATCTCGTTAAGCTGCTGTCCAATTCTGTCTTTTAAAGAATGCCATCGTTTCTCTATGGAAACTATAAATGACTGATCAATGCATGTTTCCAACAGTGATGGACCAAAACAGTTCAAATCACTGACTACAAATCATGAGGGAAAGAAGTATGCACTTAAGTATGTGTAGGTGTTTGGAAATATGGCTTCCCAAAACCAGATCCTTGCGAGGGAGGAAAAATGAAGAGGAAGAGTATATCAGCTCAGTCCCTTCAAGCATGTAGACCAGTTAGCTTTCTCATAAATGTTGCTAAATATTATATGTTGTGTACTTCCTTCCTTTTTCCCCTCAATTCCTAAATATATATTGTGTACCTTCTATGAGCCAAATATTAAATATAGGAGATCAAGAATTAATTCTAAAGATGTAAATGATAATGATGTTAGTAGGGCCAATTATGTGTCTGCCAGGTGGCATAAGATGACCAAGAAGACTCCATGTTAAACAACAGTGACTTAGTCACAGAAGACTATAAGAGTATCTGTACATCTGGCTTTTGGTAGATCAAAGGACTATGAAGGACTTTTGAATTTATTCCAGGAACAAATAATGTGAGTTTGCATCATAGAAAGATAATATTTTCCTGAAACTTATTTTTCCAAACATATTTGATGAAATTTCTTACTTCAGAGAGACTTTTTCAAGAAACTTAGAGCATTCTAAAAATTATCTAAGATTCTAACAAACAAATCCCTTTAACTTCTTGCTTTTCTTTCTTTTATTTTCAAAACTTTAACCTGTTCCCTTAAGAGACATGGAAAAATAATTCATTATTTTTATAAAAATAAATATATTGAGCAAGTATGAAGTGGTCAAAATTTGATCTGAGATAATACATTTAAAAAGCCTTTGAAATTAAATAAAGTCTAAAAAAAAGATGCTCGGGTATTATTTATGCCAATTGGACCTGGGGATCAGAAATCAGTAAGTACCTTAGATGCCTTAGAAAGACCCATGCATGCCAGAGGTTAAAAAATAAACTCTAAGAAAGTCTAAAGGTTATATCAGCCAGTAATCTCCAGAGAAAGAGAACCAATAGGATACATATACAAAGAAAGAGATTTGTTTTTGAGGAACTGTCCATTTCTGTTGATTTTTCATAACTCTATCCCTTCAAATATTGCTTCATTGACATGTTTTCAATGAAACCATCTGAGTGAAAAGCTGTTTCCTGAAAGACTGACTGAGAAACTCTCAGGCCCAGAGAGTATATATTTGTATATCTTTGTCTCACCCAGGCCTAATACTGAGGCAGGTATTTGTAAGGTAGTTGTGATATTGTGCTATAATAAGATATATATATATATAATTTTATATATATATGGCTTCTGTTCCTTGTTCTTAAAAGAGAGCTCCTAAAAGTCCTTATTTCTGAGCAATGGGAGATGCTAGGTGCATCTTTTGTTCTAATATCTGGTTTTTGACCTCCATTCTTGACAAGGAGCTCCTAATTCTTTGGAATTTATTGGGTAATAGGAGCATCTTTTGTTCCAATGAGGTGACTCTTGGTGGACTCCTGGCTGGGGGCTAGTCATCGGAGAAACCTAGACGTGGTTAGAAGCTTGAAACTTTTAAACCTAACCCCCATCCTACAGGAAGAGGCAGGTGCTGGAGATTGAATTAATAATCAATCCAGCCTCCAATGATGAAACTTCCATAAAAATCCTGAACTGCAGGTTTTGGAATGCTTCCAGGATGCTGAGCACATGAGGTGCATGAAGTGTGGTGTGTCTGGAGAGGGCATGAGAGCTCCCAGTCCCTTGCCCCTACTGGGCCTATATATGTCTTCTATGTGGCTGTTTATCTGTATCCTCTGTAATATCCTTAGTAATACGTGGAAATAGTAAACAAAATATTTCCCCAAGTTCTGTGAGCTGCTCTAGCAAATTACTGGACCTTGGAGGAGGCAGTTGGGGAAACCATGATTATAGATGGTTGTTCAGAAGCACAGGCTACAACCCAGGGCTTGTGACTGGCATTTGAAGTGGGATCAGTCTTGTGGAGTGAGGTCAGTCTTACAGGAATGAGCCCTTAACATGTGGGATCTGACGCTACCTCCAGGTAGGTAGTATCAGAATTGAATTGAAACACAGGATCCCTTCTGGTGCTCCCTGGAGAACTGGTTATTGATGGGGAGAAATTTCCACATGTATTGATGACCAGAAGTTCATTTTTTTCCAGAAGACCCTAACCTACATTTCTAACAGGGTGGTAGATTAAATGATGTCCTAAAGGACATGAATGACACATTTATTTTGCTTAATCCTCATATTAACTCTGAAAGAGTTTGACAGATAAGAAAACAGAGACTGCAAGAGATTACTTCGGTAAAGTGAAACGACTAGTAAGCAGCAGCATAGAAATCTGGACCCAGATCTGTCTGTATTCCACCATGCATAATAAACAAACATTCATTCGTTTTTTTTATTTTGAGGTAGGTAAAAATAATTTTACTCTATTCTGTATGAAATACTTGATATATATGCAAGAATCCCTAATTCACTGTCAGTCCTCCTTTTGCCCCCAACTTGCCACACATCATGCTATGTGGGTGATTCACAAGATTCAACAAATTGTCCCCAAATTAGCAGCACTAATTCACTGGGATTGAACAGGTAGTATTTGGAGCCACTTTACTGGTATACTTGCCTCACAAAAGAAATATGTCCTTTTTTGGGGAGAAGTATGTTGTACCTATTTCTTTTTTTTCCTCTTTTTTTTTTTTTTTTTGAGATGTAGTCTTGCTCTGTCACCAAGGCTGGAGGGCAGTGGCTCGATCTCAGCTCACTGCGACCTCCACCTCCCGGGTTTAAGCAATTCTCTGTCTTAGCTTCCCAAGTAGCTGGAATTACAGGCACCTGCCACCACACCTGGCTAATTTTTGTATTTTTAATAGAGACAGGGTTTCAGCATCTTGGCCAGGCTGGTCTCGAACTCCTGACCTCGTGATCCCCCCAGCTCGGCCTCCCAAAGTGCTGGGATAGGCATGAGCCACTGCAGCCAGCTATTGTTCCTATTTCTTTAGATGTCTCTTAGCCCTAAATCACTGAGAAAAATAAGCATGATAGTAAAATAGAATATGATGATATTAGAACTAATGTCACCTCTGAAAGTAGAAAAAGAGCCAATAAGATTTTTTAAACTTGGGAATCTTGTTGGTACCCCATTATCTGTCTCTAAAGTACCCGATCAAGAATGAAACCTGTATTTCTGGTTTAATGTGAGAAATCTAGTAGTATGACTCTAAAATATTTCCAGGACCCTCTTATTTATTGTTATGTTTATTTGTACTACTGTAATAACTAAGTGTACAGAGCCTTAAAAGCTATCCCATAGCTGCTACCTTGACACATGGCACATACAATAGATGGGCATGGGTAGAAACGGAATAAAATCACCAAACTGCTGTCTCATTTCCTAATGGGCAACGTGACAGTAGTCTAGATTGGAGCCTTATCTTGTAGCTTCTTTTGACACCTGACCAAAGGGGGCCAAAAGCATGGACTCACATTAAAATCTTCAATTTTTCCAGAAGGCCCTGATTCACATTTCTATCAGGGATGGTAAATTATGTCCTGAAGGACATGAAGGGTATCCATGTGAGAAGCTGCAAAAGCAGTCAGTTTAAAGCTGAGTACCCCACAATCAGCAAGACTGTCTGATTAGAAGACCCACCAATAAGCCATTAGCCACGCTTTGCTTCATTTCTGTGTATTCTAAGTTCTACCTTTCCCCCTTTCCATTTTATAACTTGACACTGTTTTTTAAGAAAAAAGCTGTACTTCTATGTTCATTTTCTTTATTCCCTGAACAATTTTTTTTATTATACTTTAAGTTCTAGGGTACATGTGCACAACGTGCAGGTTTGTTACATATGTATACATGTGCCATGTTGGTGTGCTGCACCCATTAACTCGTCATTTACATTAGGTATATCTCCTAATGCTATCCCTCCCACTACCCCCCACTCCACAACAGGCCCTGGTGTGTGATGTTCCCCTTCCTGTGTCCATGTGTTCTCATGGTTCATTTCTCACCTATGAGTGAGAACATGTGGTGTTTGGTTTTTTGTCCTTGTGATAGTTTGCTGAGAATGACGGTTTCCAGCTTCATCCATGTCCCTACAATGGACATGAACTCATCATTTTTTATGGCTGCATAGTATTCCATGGTGTATATGTGCCACATTTTCTTAATCCAGTCTGTCATTGATGGACATTTGGGTTGGTTCCAAGTCTTTGCTATTGTGAATAGTGCCGCAATAAACATAAGTGTGCATGTGTCTTTACAGCAGCATGATTTATAAACCAGTAATGGGATGGCTGGGTCAAATGGTATTTCTAGTTCTAGATCCCTGAGGAATCGCCACACTGACTTCCACAATGGTTGAACTAGTTGACAGTCCCACCAACAGTGTAAAAGTGTTCCTATTTCTCCACATCCTCTCCAGCACCTGTTGTTCCTGACTTTTGAATGATTGCCATTCTAACTGGTGTGAGATGGTATCTCATTGTGGTTTTGATTTGCATTTCTCTGATGGCCAGTGATGATGAGCATTTTTTCATGTGTCTGTTGGCGGCATAAATGTCTTCTTTTGAGAAGTGTCTGTTCATATCCTTCGCCCACTTGTTGATGGGTTTGCTTGTTTTTTTTTTCTTGTAAATTTGTTTGAGTTCTTTGTAGATTCTGGATATTAGCCCTTTGTCAGACGGGTAGCTTGCAAAAATTTTCTCCCATTCTGTAGGTTGCCTGTTCACTCTGATGGTAGTTTCTTTTGCTGTGCAGAAGCTCTTTAGTTTAATTAGATCCCATTTGTCAATTTTGGCTTTTGTTGCCATTGCTTTTGGTGTTTTAGACATGAAGTCTGTGCCCATGCCTATGTCCTGAATGGTATTGCCTAGGTTTTCTTCTAGGGTTTTTATGGTTTTAGGTTCTAACATTGAAGTCTTTAATCCATCTTGAATTAATTTTTGTATAAGGTGTAAGGAAGGGATCCAGTTTCAGCTTTCTACATATGGCTAGCCAGTTTTCCCAGCACCATTTATTAAATAGGGAATCCTTCCCCATTTCTTGTTTTTGTCAGGTTTGTCAAAGATCAGATAGTTGTAGATACGTGGCATTATTTCTGAGGGCTCTGTTCTGTTCCATTGGTCTATATCTCTGTTTTGGTACCAGTACCATGCTGTTTTGGTTACTATAGCCTTGTAGCACTTATTCCAAAATTGACCACATAGTTGGAAGTAAAGCACTCCTCAGCAAATGTAAAAGAACAGAAATTATAACAAACTGTCTCTCAGACCACAGTGCAATCAAACTAGAACTCAGGATTAAGAAACTCACTCAAAACCGCTCAACTACATACAAACTGAACAATCTGCTCCTGAATGACTACTGGGTACGTAACGAAATGAAGGCAGAAATAAAGATGTTCTTTGAAACCAACGAGAACAAAGACACAACATACCAGAATCTCTGGGACACATTTAAAGCAGTGTGTAGAGGGAAATTTACAGCAGTAAATGCCCACAAGAGAATGCAGGAAAGATCTAAAATTGACACCCTAACATCAAAATTAAAAGAACTAGAGAAGCAAGAGCAATCACATTCAAAAGCTAGCAGAAGGCAAGAAATAACTAAGATCAGAGCAGAACTGAAGGAGATAGAGACACAAAAAACCCTTCAAAAAATCCATGAATCCAGGAGCTGGTTTTTTGAAAAGATCAACAAAATTGATAGACTGCTAGCAACACTAATGAAGAAGAAAAGAGAGAAGAATCAAATAGACGCAATAAAAAATGATGAAGGGGATATCACCACCGATCTCACAGAAATACAAACTACCATCAGAGAATACTATAAACACCTCTACACAAACACACTTGAAAATTTAGAAGAAATGGATAAATTCCTTGACACATACACCCTCCCAAGACTAAACCAGGAAGAAGTTGAATCTCTGAATAGACCAATAACAGGCTCTGAAATTGAGGCAATAATTAATAGCTTACCAACCAAAAAAAGTCCAGGACCAGATGGATTCACAGCCGAATTCTATCAGAGGTACAAGGAGGAGCTGGTAACATTCCTTCTGAAACTATTCCAATCAGTAGAAAAAGAGGGAATCCTCCCTAACTCATTTTATGAGGCCAGCATCATCCTGATACCAAAGCCTGGCAGAGACACAACAAAAAAAGAGAATTTTAGACCAATATCCCTGATGAACATCGATGCAAAAATCCTCAATAAAATACTGGGAAACTGAATCCAGCAGCACATCAAAAAGCTTATCCACCATGATCAAGTGGGCTTCATCCCTGGGATGCAAGGCTGGTTCAACATACACAAATCAATAAACATAATCCCTGAGCAATTTTTGAAATGGATTTATCTTTTATTTTGATATTCACTACATTGTGATTTCCATTAATGGATAAATAAGAACTTAATTTAACCAATTAATGCCAATGCATGAAGGAGTAAAGTGACTTGCTCAAGATTAGGGAATAACTCAGAAACAAAATCAGGAGGATTCTAGAAAATAAGAAAGTACTCAAAAAAAAAAAAAAAAAACAAAAGGTTGGTAGATGTGGAAGGGACACAGGAGACAATGTGGAAGAGCGCTTAATGGCCTAAGCTGGAACAATTCAAGCACTAAAATAAAAAGCAGATTATCGGATTAAAACCCAAAGTAAGAAATTAATATCCATTAAAAAATATCAAGGCTGATACAAATTAAATGGGGAAGAAGGGGAAAATCTCTTATACGGAAGAGGTCCAGGTAATTTATGTGGATTGGTTATCTATTTCTCTCCAAGAGATGGAAATTGACACCTCCTGCCTCTTTTCCCCACTAAAATGTGGGTATGCTTAATAAATTACTTCCAAAAATTGATATAAAATCAGGTGGAAAACAAAGAATGATTTTACAGTGGAGTAAGCTGGCAAATACTACCTTGATCAGATGGTCAAGGTTAGCATCATGAGTGATAAGTAATGTGTCCTTGATATGATGTGACAAGAATGGCTCTTTACCTCAGTGGTCTTCTTCTCAAAAAACCCATAATCCCAGTCTAAAAACGAGAAAAACATCAGGTAAACTCAAAACGAGAATATTCTACAAAATGCCTGACCAGTACTATTCAAAACTGTCAATGTCATCAAAAGTAGATAAAATATAACAAACTATCACACACCAGGAGACATAATGACTAAACATAATGTGCTATCCTGAATGGGGTCAAGGAATAAGAAAAAGACATGAAGGAAAAACTAGTAAATTCCAAATAATTTGTGGAGGTTAGATAATACTTATATGCCAGTGTTGGCTCCTTAGTTGAGGCAAATGTACCACAGTAGTATAAGATGTTAACAGTAGAAGTAACTAAGTAAGGGGTAGATGAAGTCTCTCTGTACTATCAGTGCAGCTTTCTTGTAAAGACAAAACTACTCTAAATTAAAAAGGTTATTAAAAAAATCAGTAAAAAAATCATGGTGAATTCCAGAGGTCTTTATAGTCCCAACCAGTTTTTCATATGGGATGTATTTTATTTGGTTGGTTGGTTGGTTTTTAAGTGTATTACTGAGTAAATTCTTTGCAGATTTCCATTGTTCAGCACATTCTAGTACTGGACACAAATGTTTATAGAATGGAATAAGTGAAATAGCACTTAGTACATTGCCTGATACAAAGTAAACTCTCAATAAATATTTATCAGTTGATTGAATAGGATTACAAATTATTTTCCACCATAGCTTAGGGTACTTATTACATTGTCTGGTTTCTGATGTAATAAGTAGATGGGCATAAGTGAGAGGGTTTTAAAATATGGACATATTAATCCCCGAGAACCATACTAGTAAGAATCAATAAGTAATGTAGTATATTAGTCATTCGATGAAGTACCTCATCCTGTGAAATGGTCTCTCGGTTTATCCTGGAGGAGATTTAAGAAAGGTCCACCTAATCAAGGTGATTGTTGGGGTGGTGGGGGGTACAGTCAGGAGCACATAACAAGAATTGAATTGATATGAAATAAATATAGGTGGATCAATGATATTAATATTCCTGAAGATAGTTAGCCTGAGTGTAAAGAAATGGGAGTCTGAGAAGAAAAATTTGTCAACATTTCCCCAGCACTCTCCATGAATGCCTCAGGCCATCATAGTTTGATGTCATTAACTATCAGGTTCATTCAACTAACCACTCTCCTTGCTCTGATTAATTTTATTTCCTGTGTAGATTGTTTTAGTGGAAGACAGTACTCTTGGGTCACTTTGCTAGTTATAGTTCTCATGGCACATTTGTAAATTTGCATTCTAGTTCACCCACTAGTTTCTTGGACATCTAGTTAATCTAGTTTTTTATTCACCAAATATATATAATATTATTATGTATCTCGTACAGAAGTCTTGAACTTAAAATTAGTGATAAAGTGCATATGTTTTGCTTATTAGAATGCCTTACATAGTACCCATTAATTCTTCAGATATATTATTGTTGATTTTTTTAATTACAATTGGTCTTTTGTTGCTGTTGTTTTTGTTGCTGCTATGAAATAACTTTCCACCTCCCTCCTGAATTTGAGCCATTCTGACAAAATTGAATCCCTTAACTTACAAATCGGAGAATTAGATTATCAGTCAACTACCCTGTGATAGAATGCAACTTTGATTGTTCTGCTAAAGTAGCCAGTTAATTTGCCCTTCATGCTGCTGTTTCTGTTTTCTCTTTTCAACCTCAGCATCTGAGGATCATATACTCTTGAAACACTCATGAGAGATAGGAACAGGTAGATAAGGCTACTTTATAGGGACCTCTTAATTCATCACAAAAATGAGGTGCCTCTGGAGTGGAACATAAAAGTTATTTAACCAACAGGTTTAGCAGCCGTGATAAATGATGTGTGTGATTTAAATTTGAGTAGAATTGTGTTTAATTGAAAATTTGGCCACTGCATGAAATCTTCACTGCAAAGATTAGGATGACATTGAAGAACTGCCATGGGTGCTAAGAATGTGAAATAAAGAGCCACTTAAGTTAATATTTCATAAAGCAGTCAGTGTTTTATAAAGCAGAGTTCTAGAAAATATGTTCCGGTACCACTTTCATCAGTATCACCTGTGACATGTGTTAAACTGCAGCCCCTTGGCCTCACAGTACTACTGGATCAGAATCTCCTTACGGGGGAATGCAGGAATCTGTGACTTTTTTGAGGTTTACTGGTAATTCTTATAAGCCCTACAGTTTGATAACCTGGTTTTGCTTTATAAATTGAGAGAGCACTTTGATACTAGTGTGCTAGCAGATTTTATTCACATTGGTTACACATTTCCAGGAAGTCTTGAATTTAAAACTTACTGGGCAAAAAGGGGGAACATATGGTGTTCAGGTACTATGCTTTGTTAACATTTAAAATAAAATATTTTTAGAGTATGTTTTGTAAACTAAAAATTATAGTCAGCATTTTAAATAACTATGTTTTAATTACAAAGGCTTTTTGGTACAGAAATTTTCCTCAATTTGCATATAAATAGCTAGGCAAAGTGTCTGTTGGAGATGCACAGTAATTTAACTAAGCCTGATTTCTCTGTTTTACAATTGTCAGAATCTTTCTATGTTTGAGGTTGCTTTTCTTTCAATAAACATTATATTGAACACATATCAAGTTTAACCTCATTGATAGCTAACTTGATTTAATTAATTTTCCCAGGTATACACTTGACAACAGATTTGCTTTGTTCGTGATCCAATATTTGTAGTCTTTGAAATATTTCTGTGAATCCTAATATGTATTTGTGTTTTCAGCTTCTACAGACGCTATTCTAAAGAAAAATGCACAAGACTGGCTTATTTGCAATTAAATGTCTGCTCTAACACCAGTTCAGTGGAACCCATTGCAACAATAAGCCACTGAAAACTTAATCATAAAAATGATTTCCTTCTGGTCACACTAAAAGAGTGGAACTTTGAGTCTGAAAAACCTATAATATATCACTTACTACCTGTATAACCTTGAATCCAGTCTGTGAGCTTTCTGAGCCTCAGATTGCATACCTATAAAATGGGTTGATGAAATAATATTTGTAAAATGCCTGGCACATTCCTAAATAAAGAATGGCAGGGAAAAGGATAAAGGAAGGAGATGTGAAAATAGTGGAACATTGGTGGGAGAACAGGCTGTAACTTCTGAGTCTTCACTTCATACACACAATGCAGAACTCTTCATTTCTAATGTGGGACATCCAGACTCTTAGTGAGTGCGGAAACCATTACATTATGAAAAAGATAAAAGGAATAAAAGTCATTTCATGGCACAGCTAGAACTCCTTAGTAATTTCATGATTTTTGAATTGTAAAGTGAATAAGAATGTTAGTAATATTTACTTCAAGAAACATCTCCATTGTACCATGGTTGAATGAATTTAGAATTCTTAATAAAGGTACTATGCTGTAAGAAATAGCCCTTGATGCAGCTGACCTTATATTTTCTGTGTTACTTTTTTATTCTTTGACTCCATTTCCTGTCTCTTGCCTCACACATAATGAGTAAAAACTGCTTCTAAATTTTATATTGTGCACATTATTTCTTAACATTTTTATTTTCACCAAAAAAAGAACAAAATGCCATTTACCAAGCAGAAGAGGAAGAGCTAAGGATTTTTAAGCCCTACAAATTTTTATAGTTATTAGAATCATTACTGCACTTTCTCAAAAACTGCTATTTTAAGGAAAAGGGCCTCAAACCTTTTCCTGATACACAGTAATATCAGTTCCCTATTAAACATGTTAACATAACTGAATTGGTGACTAGTTTTTACAAAATAAGGATAAGTGAAAGGTAATACTTTGTGACACTGAACTGGTGCTGTCTTAAGTAACAGTACTTTGTTCTTTTTACAGTATTTTTGAACAATCCGTGTACCCCACTTTAATTCAGAATCAAATAACAAGAGACAAGGGAACCCACTCAAAAGAGGTTTTCAGTATTTGGAATGAGTTTTAATGTATCAGAAGAAAGAGGAATACACTGATTTGATAATTAGCATAAACATAAATTAGAATGCAAGTGGTTTTCAATGTAGGAAAACTTGCTGACTCACACTGAAGTATGAAATAATTTTGGACAAAGTGAGAATAAAGCAAGGAACTAGACCTATAGCACTCTGAGAAGGAAGAAAAACATTTTGGGATAACTCCAGGAAAAGTTATAAGATTGGAGATTTGGAGTAGAATGTTTTGTTTTCCTTGTGTTTTCCAGTTTTTCCATTTTGTTCTTGTTATATGTTTGTATGCAAACTTTGCTCCAATTTTAATTTTATTAGAACACATTTTCAGAACTAGAATTATTAATGGAAAATTTAGGATTGCTACATGCTGCACAGAAAAATGTTGCCAAAGTTCTTACCAACATAATGTCTGAGAATGCTGGTCTGACCAAAAAATCATTAATATTTAGCATGCTACCTAAGTTATTGCAAATTATGTAAATAAAAATTATCTCTTATTATGTGATTGCTAATGAGATATCAAGTATGTATTAGGAATTTATAGTTCTATAAATTATTTCGGAGTAATGCTCGTTTTTCAACTTGAGAATTAGCATTTTTTTGAATCTCTGAATTTTCTTTATGTATTAAAGGTGTTACTCTTTATGACTCACATAAAGAGTTGCAAATGTTTTCTCAGGTTTGTGGTTTGCCATTTAAAGTGATTTTCATAATATTTTATATATTTAACTTGTGTCTTTGAAAAATAAATAAAACATCAGAATAAAAGTTATTTAAAGCATGAGTTTGCCTATCCTGCACTGAGCTGTATCTTTAGCCTCTAGCCCATGCCTAGCAACTAGGAGATTCTCAGTAAATATTTTCAGATGAGCCTTTGCAGGTATTACACCTTTGGTTATTAATAATTCTAGCAAAAATAGAATTCTATGGAAAATTAACCAGTAGTTGCCTTATCTTTTATCCCTTTAATTTCACTCTTAGAAGTCCTTAATTATAACATAAACATTTTGAAATAAATTACTGTGTTTTACTCATGTCTGTATACTTCAGAGAGCTTATTACAGTGGCTTTTCATACATATTTATGGAATTGAATTCAGTGCAAAGAAAAAAACCCAGCCAAATAGAAACATAATATTTTCTCCCCCAAATCATTATCTTTATCAAAGCTCTAATAATTATTTTTTGACTTCATATTCTGTGCTAATCACAGAATTTTCTCTGATTTATTGGTCAGGTTTTCTGGAGGCAGGCAACGCTAACAAAATTTGTCTGTCTAAGAGAAAAAGGAAATTTTCCGGAAATGCAGCAGGGGTACACAGAATAAACAGCCTGGAAGTTGCAGTAGTGAGACTGAAAGATAATAAGATTAACCCAGGTTGCTTGAGAGCTAACATGTAAACAATAAGATTTTGGTCAGGATGATGTTGGAATTCCTGAGAAACATCATTGTTGATGCTGTGAATTAGATTCTAACTCTCTGTTTCTGTGTCACTAAAGCAAAATTCAAAGATGAGAATACAAATGTCTAACTGGCCAAACCCAGGGCACATGTTTCACCCTGGTTTTTGGAGGGCAGGAAGAGGGAGAATTTGCCCCAGCCTCTTTCAGTTTCCATAGGACTCTGTGTAAGATGGCACAGTGCATCATTCAATAAAGTAGGCAGGGGTATTGGAAGCTGGACAGAAAAAATGATAAATATCTTATAGAAATAGGCATGTTGGATAAAACACATATTTTTCTCCTTGGAGCTTATCATTTGAGAGAAGAAAAAACTATCACAGATACAAATATAATATTAAAACTGTGATAAGGGAAATTAAAGAGAATAGTTTGTATTATTATATATACATGTGTGTGTATATAATATATATAAAATAGATCAGGATTTTTTTAACTTGCAAGTGACAGAAATCTAGCCTTTACAGATCATGCTAGCTTGCAACATAAAGGAGCTGATATGGTTTATCTGTGTCTCCACCCAAATCTCATCCTGAATATCCACATGTTGTGAGAGGGACCCAGTGGGAGGTAATTGAATCATGAAGGTGGGTCTTTCCTATGCTGTTCTCATGAAAGTGAATAAGTCTCATGAGATCTGATGGTTTTAAAAACAGGAGTTTCCCTGCATAAGCTCTCTTCTCTTATCTGCCACCATATGAGATGTGTCTTTCACCTTCTGCCATGATTGTGAGGCTTCCCCAGCCACGTGGAACTGTAAGTCCATTAAAACTCTTTGTTTTGTAAATTGCTCAGTCATGGGTATGTCTTTATCAGCAGTGTGAAAACAGACTAATCCAGGAACTTATCAGCTAACTTACCTAAAATGTCCAGGGTTAGCTCTGGCTTTGCATATGACTGGATTTAGTCTCAAACAGTGTGCTACATCTTGGTTGCTCTGTATCTAACTAGAAACTATAATTAGTTTATAATATTTCTAGTGTTGGCTTTATTTTCAGGCAGCCATTTCCCCATTTGTTGGGAAAGCTGCTTCTCCACAAGCCTCAATGAAACAAAATCTTTACACTTGAAATCCCAGAAGATCAAATGCCAGAGATCTGGGATAAAATATAAAGAAAGAATAAACAATCCAGAGGGATCTTTACATATATCTAGAAGTGATGATTATAAAGGTCAATGAGAAAACTGGGTGAAAAATTTTCCTCACTGCAGAGACATTGAGAAAAGATCAGCCTCTCAGCCTCTATGTTCAAAGAGTTTATTAAACTTAATATTTAGAGCTGGGAATTCCAGAATATCTGAATGAGGAATTCTGAAAATTCTTTTCCCCAAATACAATGACTACATCTTCAAAAAAAAAAAAGACTAAATCTTCCCCAAAAGTTTGGAAGTTTGGATATTTGCCAAATGCATAAAAACAGGAAGAGAAGTATTTATTCAAGAAAAATGACTCATTGTAAGCACTGTAATAGAGTATGTGGCATTGTAGCCTGGGGCAACTCAAATCATCCCCAGACCAGATTTGTGGTATTCTAGTTCTACCAGGATAAGGTAGACTGTGAAGACAATGGTCCTATGCTGGAGAGATGACTTGATTTGGAGCATGAAAAAACTCACCGTGAAAGTGCTATCAAACACAATTTGACCTTGGTGGCAAAAATCAGGGAAGGCTAACATTGCAGTTACTCTGAGATTGTGATACACACGGGGAATACACTAGATCTGCAGATCATCTAGAAACTTTACAGGAAGAGTTGGGGAATAAGTTAGTTATAGAAGAACTTGATATGTGCCATGTATACCTGGTAGTCAGAAAGGCTGCATACATGCTGGGGAGAGACCAGAGAGGATGACTACATAGACCGAACTTGTACTCACAGAAAGGCAATGCATGAGAACACTTGAACGTCAGCTAAACACTGTATATCTAAACATTGTATGCATTCTCCAAACATTCATCAGCAAAAGTTAGAAGGTATAATAGCTCAAGGCATTCAAGCATAACTTCTGACCAATCACTGACTGAATAATTAGCTATATGGACCCAGATGTGACCCCAGGAAATCTAGTTTTAAAAATAAAAATGAGGATGACAACGATAACAAAAACATGAATAGAGGTATCAGCAATACACTACAGAATTGACTCTATAGAATCAGTCCAAAATAGTCACTAAACAAACAAAAGAAAAAAAAGAACAATAACAATCCCTGAGGGGGATTCAGAATCCAGAGTTGATTGTACGTATAGCCTAAAATGACCAATTCTTAAGAAAATTTATTATTATTATTATTTGAGACAGAGTTTTGCTCTGTTGCCCAGGCTGGAGTGCAGTGGTGCGATCTCAGCTCACTGCAACCTCTGCCTGCCAGGTTCCTGCAACTCTCCTGCCTCAGCCTTCTGAGTAGTTGGGATTACAGGTTCACACCACCATGCCTGGCTAATTTTTTGTATTTTTAGTAGAGATAGGGTTTCACCACCTTGGCCAGGTTGGTCTTGAACTCCTGACCTCAAGTGATCCGCCCACCTTGGCCTCCCAAGTGCTGGGATCATGGGCATGAGCAACCATGCCAGGCCATTTAACAAAAATTATTAAACAGACAAAGACACTGGAAGGTGTGACCCATATACAGGAAAAAAGGCAATCAAAAGCAATAGTTTCTTAAGAGATCTAGATTTTCGTGAGAGAAGACAAAAATTCAAACAACTGTTGTAAAAAATGTTCAGTGAACTAAAGGAAATCACATTGAAAGAATTAAAAAAAATTGTTATAACAATTACTCAACTTGAGAGTGGAAATTCTGGTGTTGAAAGCCTAATAGCTTAAATTTTAAAAATCATTATAAAGACTCAACAGCAAACTGGAGCCAGCAAAAGAAAGAATTGGAAATCCAAAGATATACCAATAGAGATTATTAATCTGAATAATAAAAATAAAAAGAATGCAAACAAGTTAATAGAACTTCAGAGACCTTGGAAAACCATTAAGTGTACCAATATATATGTAATGGGAGTTTAAGAATGAGAGGAGAAAAAGAAAAGGGCACAAAAATATTTGAAGAAATATTGGCTGAAATATCCCAAAATTGATAAAAATTAATCTACACATTCAAAAAGCTCAATAAACTCTACACAGGATAAATAAAAAGAGAACCAAACTTAGACATATCATAGTCTACAAGTAAAAGCCAAAGACAAAGATAAAATCTTGAAATCATCAAGAGAAAAATGACCTATTAGATATAAGGAAATCACAATTAGATAGCCAATGACTTCTTATCAGAAACAAGGGAGATTAGGGAGACAAAGGTGCAGCAAGATGCTGAAGAGAAACCTCCAATGATTGTCCCCCAACCCTGTATGAACATCAAATTGAACAAGTATCCACACAAAAAAAGCACCCTCATAAGAACCAAAAATCAGGTGAGTGATCACAGTACCTGGTTTTAACATCATGATAAGGAAGAAGGCACTGGAGAGGTTATAAAAGACAGTCCTAAATGGCCTCCACCATGCCCTTCCACTCCCCAACAGTGGCCATATTTTGCAGAGAGAGAGAATCGGTGCACTCAAGGGAGGGAGAGTGCACTGATTGCGTGACTGCACTGGAACTTGGAGCTTCCCTGTCATGGTGGAAAGCAAAATGGGGCAGAACTCAGCCAGCATGCTTGGAGGGAACAGTTGGACCAGCCCTGGACAGAGGCCAGTAGTCCATCCCAGAGGTAGGAATCTGAGTTCTGGCAATCCTTGCCACTATGGGCTAAGGTGCCCTGGGGTTCTTAATAAACTTAAAAAGCAGTGAAGGCCACAGTGACTGTAATTCCTGAGCAAGGACTGGTGCTGTGCTAGGCTTATAGTCAGTGGACTTGGGGTGCACATGAACTAGTGAGATACCAGCTGGGGTGTCCAAGGTAGTGCCTGCATCATCCCTCAGTCCAACCAAGGCAGCACAGCTCACAGCTACTGGAGAGATTCCTTCCTTCTGCTTTAGGAGACAGGAAAGGAGAATAAAGAGGACTCTGTCTTGCAACTTGGATACCAACTCAGCCACAGTAGAATAGGGCATCAGGGAGACTCCTGCAGTCCCCATTCCAGGCCCTAACTACCAGATGTCATTTCTAAACACGTCCTAGGCCAGGAGGGAACCCAGTGCCTTGAAGTGAAGAACCCAGTCCTGACAGTATCGCCTGCTATCTAAAGAGCCCTTGAGGTCTGAATAATCAGCAGTGGTAGCCAGGCAGTACTTGCTGCAAGCCTTGGGTGAGACAGAGCTGTACTGGCTTCAGGTGTGAGCCAGCACATTCCCAGCTGTGGTGGCTAGCGGAAGAAAGAAGAGGGAAGAGTAAAGAGGAGTTTGTTTTACAGCTCGGGTACTAGTTCAGCCACAGCTGGGTAGAGCATTAAGTGGGCTGCTGGGGTCCCCAATTTCAGGCTTTATTTCCTGGATGGCATTTCTGGACCTGCCCTGGGCCAAATAGGAGCCCATTGTCCTGAAGGGACAAGCTCAGGAATGGCAGCATTCACCACAAGCTGACTGAAGAGCCCTTGGACCTTGAGTGAGCATCAGCGGTAGCAATGCAGTGGTCATTGTGGGCTTTGGGCAAGACGCAGTGCTGTGCTGATTTTGTATCTGACCCAGTGAAGTCCTAGTGGTGATGGCCACAAGGGTACTTGTAATCTGTCCTTCCAGCTCTAGGCAGCTCAGCAGAGAGAGATACTCCATTTGTTTGGGAGAAAGTAAGGGAAAATAACAAGAGTCTCTGCCTGGTAATCTAGGGAATTCTTCTAGATCTTATTCATGATCACTAAGATGGTACCTCTATTAGTCTGCAAGAGTGACAGCATTACTGGGTTTAGGGTGCACCCTAACGCAGATATAGCTGCAGTGGCCAAAAACTTAAATCGCAACACTCAAGTCCCTTTGAATACCTGGAAAGCCTTCCCAAGAAGGACAGGAACAAACAAGCCCAGACTGAAAGGACTATAATAAATACCTAATTCCTTAATGCTGAGACACCAATGAACATCTACAAGCATTCAGACAATCCAAGAAAATCATCTCACCAAACGAACTTAATAAGGCACCAATGACAAATCCTGGAGAGATAGAGACATGTGACCTTTCAGATGGATAATTCAAAATAACTGTTTTGAGAAAGCTCAATGACATAGAGAAGGAATTCAGAGTCCTATTGATAACAAATAGATTGAAATAATTAAGAAGAATTGAGCAAATTCTGGAGCTGAAAAATGCAATAGGTATACTGAAGAAAGCATCAAAATCTTTCAATTACAGAATTGATCAAGTAGAAGAATCAGTGAACTTGAATGCAAGCTACTTGAAAACATACGGCCTGAGGAACCAAAAGTATAAAGAACAAAAAAGAATGAAGTGTGCCTACAAGGACTAGAAAATAGCCTCAAATCTAAGAGTTACTAAAAGGGAGGTAGAGAGAGAAAGAAAGATTGCAGTAGAAAGTTTATAAAAGGGATAATGACAGAAAACTTCCCAAACCTAGAGAAAGATATCAATATTCAAGTACAAGACTGTTATAGAAAACCAAGCAGATTTAACCCAAATAAGATTGTCTTAGGACATTTAGGAATCTAATTTCTAAAGGTCAGGGATAAAGAAAGGATACTAAAAGCAGCAAGAGAAAAGAAACAAATAACATACAAAAAAGCTCCAATACATTTGGCAGAAGACTTTTCGTGGAAACCGTACAGGACAGGAGAGAGTGGCATGACATATTTAAAGTGCTGAAGAAAAAAGAAAATCAAACATTTTTATTCCAGAATAGTGTATTTGGTGAAAATATCCTTCAAACATGAAGGAGAAATAAAAACTTTCCCAGACAAACAAAAGCTGAAGGATTTCATCAACATCACACCTGTCCAACGAAAAACGATAAAGGGAGTTCTTCAATCTGAAGGAAAAGGACATTGCTGAGCAATAAGAAATCATCTGAAGGTACAAAACTCACTAGCAACATTAAGTACATGGATAAACACAGAATACTGTAATACTGTAATGGTGATGTGTAAAGTACTCATATGTTGAGTATGATTAAAAGATGAACCTATTAAAGATATTATTACACAAAACTTTTCAAGACACACACAGGATAAACTTAAAGTATAGAGTTTTTATTAGTTTTCTCTTTGTTAGTTTGTTTCTTTACATAAGGTGTTATTTCTAAGCCTCATGGTAACCTCAAATAAAAAAAAATACAACAGATACACAAAAATTAAAAGGTAAGAAATTAAAACACACCAGTTGAGAAAATCACCTTCACTCAAAGGAAGACAGGAATAAAGGAAAGAAGGAAGAGAAGACCACACAACAACCAGAAATCAGGTAACAAAATGGCAAGAGTACATCCTTACTTCTCAATAATAACATTGAATGCAAATGAACTAAACTTTAACCAAAACACATAGAGATAGTGGCTGAATGGATAAAAAACAAGACCCAATGAATTGTTGCCTACAAGAAACATAATTTACATATCGAGACACACATAGACAGACAATAAAGGAATGAAAAAGATATTCTCTGCATATGGAAACCAAAAAAGACAAGGAGTAGCTATACTTATATCAGACAAAATAGATTTCAAGACAAAAACTATAAAAAGAGATAAAGAAGGTTATTAAATAATGATAGAAAGGTCTATTTAGCAAGAGAATGTAACAACTATAAATATATATGCACCCAACACTGGAGCATCTCAATATATAAAGCAAATATTATTAGAGCTAAAGAGAGAGATAGAGCCCAATATAATAATAGCTAGAGACTCAAACACCCACTTGCAGCACTTGGACAGATTACTCAGACAGAAAATCAATGAATAAATATCAGGCTTTATCTGCACTGTAGACCAAATGGACCCAACAAATATTTACTGAACATCTCATCCGACAACTGTAGAATACATATTCTTCTCCTAAGCACATGGATGGTTCTCAAGAATAGACCATATGATAGGTGAAAACATAAGTCTTTAAAAATTTTAAAAATTGAAATTATATCAGGTATTTCTACTGAACACAATGGAATAAAACTAGAAATCAATAACAGGAGGAATTGTGGAAGCTATACAAACATATGGAAATTCAAAAATATGCTCCTGAATGACCAATGATTAATGAAGAAACTAAGAAGAAAATTTAAAAATTTATTGAAACAAATGGTAATGGCACATAACATATCAAAACCTATGGGATACAGTGAAAGTAGTCCTAACAGGAAAGTTTATACCTATATGTGCCTACATCAAAAAGGTAGAAAAACTTCAAATAAGCAATCTGTTCATATATCTTAAAGAACTAGAAAAGAAAGAGCAAACCAAACCCAAACTTATTAGGAGAAAGGAATAATCAGAGCAGAAATAGGTGAAATTGAAACAAAAAATAGAAAAATTAACAAAATGAAAAATTTGTTTCTTGTAAAAATTAACAAATTCAACAAACGTTTACCCCAAATAACTAAGAAAAAAAGAAAGGAGATACAAATAAATAAAATCAGAGATGAAAAAGTAGATACAACAACTGGCAACACAAAAATTCAAAGGATTGATAGAGGGCACTGTGAGCAATTATATGCAATAAATTGGAAAGTCTAGAAGAAATGGATAAATTCATAGACACATCCAACCTATCAAGATTGAACTATGAAACTTTATTGTCAGGACTATATTAGGTGCTGAACCTTAATGTTATGTATTTGTTCTTATTAAAAATTGTTTCAATGAAAATTATATTAGCAGTATAAACTTCTGGTCTAGTTGAAAGTTATTCCATTTGAAAAACGTAATATTTGCATAGACCTGTTTGAGTATTTTTATTTTCTAGTCCCCCTCCCCTACACTGTACAGAATTGAAGCTAGAATTTTCTCTTTTGATAAAGGAACAAAAAATGAACACGTTATTTGTAAATTGATGTTTAATAACTTAGGAAAAACTTGAAATACCGAAATGTATTATAAGCCTTAATCCTAGGTAGTCTTAAAAAATAAATCTCTTAACTATCTTTTGAATCTGTATTCACACTATTTTCTAAGATATTTTAAGTTTTAATTTTTGCTTTTTTTGAATCTGCTTCTTATTTGAAGGCTACTTGTTTTTACTGAGGTATTATTAATAAATGACTGCATTTTAAAAATAAGGTTTCTTATAACTATGACTGGATGTGAATATGGAAAGCAAAAAAGCCTGAATAGACCCATAGCAAGTAGCAAGATCAAACCTATAATAAAAAGTCTCCCAAACAAAGGAAAACCTGGAAACTAATGGCTTTGCTGTTTAATTCTGCTAAACATTTAAAGAACTAACACCAATCCCAGTCAAACTGTTTCAAAAAATAGAGGATGAATGAATGCTATGAGGCCAGTACTATCCTGATATCCAAACCAGGTTTGTTTGTTTTCAAAACAAACAAACAAACAAACAGAAAACCCCTATACTACAATATTCCTAATGAATTGATAAAAAATCCTCAATGAAATACTAGCAAACAGAATTCAACAACACATTTAAAAAGATCGTTCATCACGACTAAGTGGGATTTAATTTAGTAATGTGAGGATTGCCCGACATATGAATATCAATTAATGTGATACATCATATCAACAGAATAAAGGACACAAACCATATAATCATTTTAATTGATGATGAAAAAGCATTTGATAAAATTAAATATCCCTTCATGATAACCATCCCCTAAAATAAAATATGGCTATAGAAGGAACACCTCAACACAACAAAAGTCATATACAACAGACTTACAGCTAGTATCATACTGAATAGGGAAAAACTAAAACCCTTTCCTCTGAGATCTGGGACATGACAAGATGCCCACTATCACCACTCTTATTCAACATAGTATTGGAAGTCTTAGCTAGAGCAATCAGAAAAGAAAGATTAATAAAGGGCATCTACATTGGAAAGGAAGAAGTCAAATTATCCTTGTTTGCAGATAATATAATCTTATATTGGGGAAAACCTAAAGACTCCATGAAAAAACTATTAGAACTAAAAAACAAATTCAGCAAAGTTGCAGGATGTAAAATCAACATACAACAATCAGTAGCATTTCTATATTTCAAAAGTGAACAATCTAAAAAAGAAATCAAGAAAGTGATTCCATTTACCATGGCTAAAAACAAAATTAAAAACCTAGAAATAAGTTTAACTAAGGAAGTGAAATATCTCTAAACTAAAAACAATAAAACATTGATGCAAGAAACTGAAGAGGACACAGAAAATGGAAAGATATTTCATGTAAATGGATTAGAAGAATCAATATTTTTAAAATTTCCATACTAACCAAAGCAATCTACAGATTCAATGCAATCCCTATCAAAATACCAATGACGTTTTTCACAGAAATAGAAGAAACAATACTGAAATGTATATGGGACCCCAACAATCTCAGAATATGCAAAGCTCTCTGTAGCAAAATTAATAAAACTGGACGAATCACACTACCTGATTTCAAATTACACTACAGACTTACAATAATTAAAAGAGCATGGTAATGGCATAAAAACAGACACATAGACTAGTGGAACATAATACAGAACTCAGAAATAAATCCATACAGCTACAGTAAGCTTTTTTTTTTTTTTTTTCTGTCACCCAGGCTGGGGCTGTGGCCTGATCTTAGCTCACTGCAACCTCCACCTCCCGGGCTCAAGCAATTCTCCCACCTCAGTCTCTCTAGTAACTGGGAAAACAGGTGCCTGCAAACATACCTGGCTAATTTTTTTTTTTTTTTTTTTTGGTAGAGACGGGTTTCACCACGTGGGCCAGCTGATCCACCTGCCTCAGCCTCCGGAAGTGCTGAGATCACAGATGTGAGCCACTGCGCCAGACCTGGTAAACTCATTTTTGACAAAAGTGGCAAGAATATAAACTAGAGAAAAGACAGTCTCTTCAATAAATGGTGCTGGGAAAACTGGATATCCATATGCAGAAGAATGAAATTAGATCTGTATCTCTTGCCATTTATAAAAATCAAGTCAAAATGAATTAAAGACTTACATCCAAGACCTGAAACTATGAAACTACTGAAAGAAAACACTGGAGAAACTCTCCAGGCCATTAGATTGAGCAAAGATTTTAATAATAACTGCATTAATAATAATGCAGCCAAAGCAAAAATGGAAAAATGGGATCACGTCAAGTTAAAAAGTTTCTGCACAGCAAAGGAAACAACCAATGAACTGAAGAGACAACACACAGAATGGGAGAAAATATTTGCAAACTAGCCATCTGACGATGATCAATAATCAAAATATATAAGCTCAAACTACTCAATAGGAAAAAAATCTAATCCAATTTAAAAAATAGACAAGAGATCTGAAATGATATTTTTCAAAAGAAGTCATGCAAATGGCAAACAGGTATATGAAAAGCTCAACATCATTAATCATCAGATAAATGCAAATCAAAACTACAATGAGATATCATCTTACCCCAGTTAAAACGGCTTTTATCCAAAAGACAGGCAGTAACAAATGCCACTGGGGATGTGGAGAAAAGGGAACTCTTTTCAACTTGTACACTGTTGGTAGGAGTATAAATCAGTACAGCCACTATGGAGAACAGTTCAGAAGCTGCACAAAGGACTAAAAATAGAGCTACCATATGATCCAGGAATCCCACTGCTAGGTTTATACACAAAAGAAAGGAAATCAGTATATTGAAGACATATCTGCATTCCCACGTTTACTGCAACACTATTCAGAATAACCAAGATTTGGAAGCAACCTAAGTGTCCGTCAACAGATGAATGGTTAAAAGAAAATGTGCTATATTCACACAATGGAATGCCATTCAGAGATTAAAAAAAAAAAAAAAAGAGGAATGAGATCCTGTCATTTGCAACAACACGGATGGACCTGGAGGTAACTATGTTAAGTGGAGTAAGCCAGCCACAGAAAGAGAAACTTCACATCTTCTTATGTATGGGAGCTAAAAAATTAAAACAATTGAACTCATGGAGATAGAGAGTAGAATGATGGTTACCAGAGGCTGGGAGGGGTAGTGAGGGGTGGGTGGGTGATAAACAGGTACAAAAATATCATTAGAGTGAACAAGATCTAGTATTTGATGGCACAACAGGATGACTACAGTCAAAAATAATTTATTGTATATTTTAAAATTGAGAGACAGGACTAGCTGGATTTCCTAGCCTAAGAATTCCTAAACCTAGCTGGGGAAGGCGACCACATCCAACTTTAAGCACGGGACTTGTAATTCAGCTCACCCTCGACCAATCAAGTAGTAAAGAGACCTCACTAAAATACCAATTAGGCTAAAAGCAGGAGGTAAAGAAATAGTCAATCATCTATCGCCTGAAAGCACAGGGGTAGGGACAATGATTGGGAAATAAACCCCCTCAGCATTGGAGCCGGCAGGGGCAACCCCCTTTGGGTCCCCTCCTGTTGTATGGGAGTTCTGTTTTCACTCTGTTAAATCTTGCAACTGCACACTCTTTTGGTCCGTGTTTGTTCTGGCTCGAGCTGAGCTTTCGCTCGCCATCCACCACTGCTGATTGTCACTGTCGCAGACCCACCACTAACTTCCACTCCTCCAGATCCAGCAGGGTGTCCACTGCACTTCTGATCCAGTGAGACGCCCACTGCTGCTCCCGATCAGGGTAGAAGCTCGCCATTGTTCCTGCGGGCTGAATGCCCGGGTTCATGCTAACTGAGATGAACACTAGTGGTTGGGTTCCACGGTTCTCTTCCATGACCCATGGCTTCTAATAGAGCTATAACACTCACCACATGGCCCAAGATTCCATTCCTTGGAATCCAGGAGGCCAAGAACCCCAGGTCAAAGAACAAAAGTCTTCCCGCCATCTTGGAAGCAGCCTGCCACCATCTTGGGAGCTCTAAGAACAAAGACCCGCCAGTAACAAAATAACTAAAAGAGTATAATTGAATTGATTGTAACACAAAGGAAGGATAAATACTTGAGTTGACGGATACCCCCATTTATGCTGTTGTAATCATTGTGCAATGTATACATCTACTGTGTGCTCTCAAAAATAAAAAAATAAATTAAGAAAACAAGAGAGGTTAGAAAGCAGTCAGATGATATATTCAAAAAGTTGTAAGATAAAAATAGCTATCAACCAGCAATTCGACATCCAGCACAGCAATCTTTCAAAAACTGAAGGTAAAATAAAGACACTTTCGATAAACAAAGACTGGGAGAATTGCTGCTAGCAAGCTGGCTCTACAAGAAATTCCAAACTAAGTCCTCAGATGAAAAGTAAATGACTCCATATGATAACTGCAATCCATGGCAATAAATAAACAGTGCTGCTCTAAGTTCTTATGTAGATAAATATGAAAGACAGTCTAATAATTATCTTTTCTTCTAAATTGATTTAAAAGAAAGCTGCATAAAACAATAACTATAAAACTATTGTTGGGTTTATAACATGTAAAGGTATAACATACACATTTTTTTTTGTTTCTTCTGGAAAAAAAAAAAAGGGTTACATGTGCAGAACGTGCAGGTTTGTTACACAGGTATACATGTGCCATGGTGGTTTGCTGCACCTATTGACCCATCCTCTAAGTTCCCTCCCCTCAGTCCCCAACCCCCAACAGGCCCTGGCATGTGTTGCTCCCCTCTCTGTGTGCATGTATTCTCAATGTTCACCTCCCACTTATGAGTGAGAACATGCAGTGTTTGGTTTTCTGTTCCTGTGTTAGTCTGCTGAGGATAATGGCTTCCAGTTTCACCCATGTCACTGCAAAAGATATGGCCTCATTGCTTTTTATGGCTGCATGGTATTCCATGGTGTATATGTACCACATTTTCTTTATCCAGTCTATCATTGATGCATATTTGTGTTGCTTCCATGACTTTGCTATTGTAAATAGTGCTGCAATAAGCATACGTGTGCATGTGTCTTTATAGTAGAATGATTTCTGTTCCTTTGGGTATATACCCAGTAATGGGATCGCTTGTTCAGATGGTATTTCTGGTTCTAGATCCTCAAGGAATCGCCATACTGTCTTCCACAATGGTTGAACTAATTTACATTCCCATCAACAGTGTAAAAGTGTTCCTATTTTTCCATAGCCTTGCCAGCATCTATTGTTTCCTTTCAATAATCACCATTCTGACTGGTGTGAGATGGTATCTCCTTGTGGTTTTGATTTGCCTTTCTCTGTTGATCAGTGATGTTGAGCTTTTTTTCATGTTAGTTGGCTGTGTAAATGTCTTCTTTTGAGAAGTGTTTGTTCATCTCCTTTGCCCACTTTTTGATGTTTTTTTTCTTGTAAATTAACATACAATTTTTATGAAGATATACATTTCCTTTCTCTTAAGAAGATACTTGTAAGTGGAATTCTGGGTAATATGGTAAATTTATGTTTTTACTTTTTTGCTTCATTTATATTGAGGCTCTGTTTTTAGGTATGTGTTCATACCTAAACACAAAGGTATGAACTTGATATGTGTTCATACTTGATACATTCCTTGTAATCATATTATCTCTAATAATATTTTTCCTTAAAGTCTATTTTTGTGATTAGTTCAATTAGTATATAAACATCTTGCATATGTTTACTGTTTCAAGGCTTATCATTTTCCATTCTTTTACTTTCAGCCTATTAGTGTCTATTAATCAAAATTATTTCTCTTATAGATTGCATATATTTTGATATTTTTTTTAAAAATCCAGCCAGCTGGGTGCGGTGGCTCATGCCTGTAATCTCAGCACTTTGGGAGGCTGAGGTGGGTGGATCATGAGGTCAGGAGATCGAGACCATCCTGGCTAACACTGTGAAACCCCGTCACTACTAAAAATACAAAAAATTAGCCGGGCGTGGTAGCGGATGCCTGTAGTCCCAGCTACTGGGAGGCTGAGGCAGAAGAATGGCATTAACCCAGGAGGTGGAGCTTGCAGTGATCTGAGATCGTGTCACTGCACTCCAGCCTGGGTGAGAGAGCGAGACTCCATCTCAAAAAAAAAAAAAAAAAATCCATACTGACAATCTCTGCCTTTTTATTGGAGCATTTAATCTGTTAATGATAATCATAGTGAAAAGAAAGAAGAAGATAGAGCTATGTTGGAGAGAAGTTTCTATGTTTTACTATATTTTGTATATTTTATTGAAATTTATTTTTAGTAATTTTAGATGGTACTAAAAGAACAGAGGGATAGATCACATAAATATACAGAAATCAAATAGCAAAATGGGAGACGTATATCTAAACATTTCAATAAGCATGTTAAATGTAAACAGACTAAGTGGTCCAATAAAAGGATAGAGATTGTCAGTATGAATTAAAAAACAGGATCAAAATACTTGTTGTCTATAAGAGAAGTAATTTAGATTCATAGACACAAACAGGCTGAAAGTAAAAGGATGGAGAATGATAAGCCTTTGGAATAATAACCATATGCAAGTTACAGTTATTCTGCTAATATCACAAAAACAGGCTATAAGGAAAAAATATTACTGAAGATAAAATAACCAGAGGAAACATATAACAAGTATGAACAATGTATATCTAAAAACAGAGCTTTTATATACATATAAAGCAAACAAGTAAAAACCATAAATTTACCATATGACCCAGCAATTCCACTTACAAGTATCTACCCAAGAGAAAGGAAATATATATCCCCATGAATATAAATCCCCATTTGAATATTTATATTCAAATGTTCATAACAGCATTTTAAATTATAGCCCAAAGTGGAAAGAATCCAATGTCCATGAAATGGTGAACTGATAAACACATGTGGTATATACATAGAATGAAATACTATTCAGCAGTAAAAAGAAACTGACTACGGACACAAGCTACTACATGGGTGGATCTCAAATACATTTTGCTAATTAAAAGAAGAGTCAAAAGTTAACATGTTGTATGAATACATTGACATGAACTGTTCAAAAAGCAGAGCCAACATTATACTGAATGGGGAATAGTTGAAAGAACTGGAATAAGACAAGGATGCCCACTTTTACTACTTTTTTTTTTTTTTTTTTTTTTTGAGACAGCATCTTGCTCTGTTGCCCAGCCTGGAGTGCAGTGGCACGATCTCGGCTCACTGCAAGCTCTGCCTCCCAGGTTCATGCCATTCTCCTACCTCAGCCTCCCAAGTAGCTGGGACTACGGGCGCCCAACACTACACCCCGCTAATTTTTTGTTATTTTTAGTACAGACAGGGTTTCACCATGTTAGCCAGGATGGTCTCAATCTCGTGACCTCATGATCCACCCACCTCAGCCTCCCAAAGTGCTGGGATTACAGGCATGAGCCACCGCACCCGGCCCACTTTTACTACTCTTATTCAACGTAGTACTGGTAGTACTAGCCAGAGGAATCAAGAAACAGAAAGAAATAAAAGGCATCCAAATTGGAAAGGAGGAAGTCAAATTACCACTGTTTGCTGATGACAAAATCTTACATCTAGAAAAACCTAAAGACTCCATGAAAAATCTCTTAGATTGATAAATGGACTTACTAAAGTTTCAGGATAAAAAATCAACATATAAAAATCAGTAGCATTTCTATACACCAGTAATAATCTAGCTGAGACTATTCACAGTAGCAAAGACATGGAATCAACCCAAATGCCCAGGAAGGATAGACTGGATAAAGAAAATGTGGTACACATACACCATGGAATACTATGCAGCCATAAAAAGGAATGAGATCATGTCCTTTGTAGGGACATGGATGAAGGTGGAAGCCGTAATCCTCAGCAAACTAACACAGGAACAGAAAACCAAACACCTCATGTTCTCACTTACAAGTGGGAGCTGAACAATAAGAACACATGGAAACAGGAAGGGGAGCAACACACACTGGGGCCTGTTGTGGGGTGAGGTGAGGGGAGGAAGAACATTAGGAAAAATGGCTAATGCATGCTGGGCTTAATCCCTAGGAGATGGGTTGATAGGTGTAGCAAACCACCATGGCACACATTTACCTATGTAACAAACTTGCACATCCTGCATATGTACACCAGAACTTAAAATAAAAATTTTAAAAATAAGCTAGCTGATAATAAAATCAAGAAGACAATTTCATTTACAATAGGAACAACAATAACAAAAAAATACCTAGGACTAAGTTTAACCAAAGAGTTATTATAAAAAATCTCCAAAAGGGAAACTACAAAACACTGATGAAAGAAATTGCAGATGATACAAATGAATGGAAAAGCATCCCATGATTGTAGATCAGAAGTATTAATATTTTTAAAATGACCATACTGCCTCAAGCAATCTACACATTTAATGCAATCCATATCAAAATACCGACATGAATTTTCACGAAATCTGAGAAAAGATCCTAAAATTCATATGGAACCAAAAAAGAGTCCAAATAGCCAAAGCAAACCTGAGCAAAAAGAAAAAAGCAGGAGGGATCACATTCCCTGACTTCAAACTATACTATACAGCTATAGTAACCATAACAGCATGGTACTAGTATAAAAATAGATGCACAGGTCAATAGAAGAGAATATAGAACACAGAAATGAAGCCACATTTTTATAGGCAACTGATCTTTGACAAAGTCAACAAGAACATCCGTTGGGAAAAGGGTACCCTTTTCAATCAATGGTGCTAGGAAAATTAGATTGCCATATGCAGAAGAATGAAACTTGACCTGTATCTCTCACCATATACAAAAATCAACTCAAGATGGATTAAGGGTTTTAATGTAACACCCAAAATTGCAAAAATACTAGAAGAAAACCTAAAGAAAACTCTTCTGAACATTGATCTAGACATAGAATTTATGACCAAAACCTCCAAATCACAGGTAACACAAACAAAAATAGATAAATGGGACTTAATTAAACTCAAAAGCTTCCACCCAGTGAAAGAACTAATCAACAAAATGAACAGACAGTCTGCAGAATGGGAGAAAATATTTTCAAATTATTCATCTGACAGGGACTAATATCTAGAATGTGCAAAGAACTCAACAGTAACAACAAAAAAACCTCACAAATAATCCCCTTACAAAGTAGAAAAAGGGCATGAATAGACATTTTTTCAAAAGAAGACATATAACCGGCCAACAGATATATGAAAAAATGCTCAACATCACTAATCATCAGAGAAATATAAATCAAAACCACAATTAGATATCATCTTACCCTTGTCAGAGTGGCTATTATTAAAAAGACAAAAAATAACAGATGTTGGCATGGATGTAGAGAAAAGGGAACTCATACACTCTTGATGGGAATGTAAATTAGAACACCCTCTATGGAAAATAGTATGGAAATTTCTCAAAGAACTAAGACTAGAACTACCAATTGATCCAATAATCCCACTACTGGATATCTACCCAAAGGAAATTAATATATCAAAAAGATAGCAGCACTTGTATATTTGTTGCAGCAATATTCACAATAGCAAAGATATAGAATCAACTGAAGTGTCTAACACTGGATGACTGAATAAAGAAAATGGGGTATGTATCACAATGTTATACCATTTAGCTATGAAAAAAAGTGAAATCATGTTTTTTACAGCAACATGAATGGAACTGGATGTCATTATTTTAAGTGAAAAGAGCCAGACACAGAAAGTCAAATATCCCATGTTCTCACTCATAAGTGGGTACTAAAAATGTGTACACATGGACATAGTGAGTGGAATGATAGACAATGGAGACTTGGAAGGTAGGATGGATGGAGCAGAGTGGATGATGAGAAATTACTTAATAGGTACAATGTATGTTATTCTAGTAATGGATATTCTAATAGTCCTGACATGACCAGTAGACAATCTATGCATGTAATATAGTTGTACTTCTACCCCATAACTGAAACAAACAAAAAAAGACAAATGTAAACATACTTTCTTTCCAAAAATACACAAAGAAAATAAATAATAAAGAGTGATGGTTGCCTGTGGTTGGAGTCGGAAATTGTATTAATTTTAAATGGGAAGTAAAGGACCTTGTTGGATTGATGGCAATTTAGGAAACTCAATTGTAGTGATGATAAAGGTTATGAAATTCCACATTTACAAAAAAGTCATTGAATTGTAAGCTTAAAATGGGTGAATTTTATCGTATGTAAATTACGCTTCAATTAAGTCATTAAGAATAAAGCCCAATTATTATACCTCTGATTGTCAGTGTAAAGTCTTGGATGTCTGTGCAATTCTAATATTCAGTAATTTAAAAAAATGCTACATGTGGCAGCAACTGAATAGATTGTTTTCTTGTACACAAAGATAAACCATATTTCCCAGTTTTATAGTTCTTGTGTGATCAGTTCTGGCCAAAGAAATCTAGATAGAACTAGATACAGCATTTTCTGGCTTGGTCTTTTACACTGATTTCTCTCAACCTCATCCATGGGGGTGAAAGCAAATAACTTTGAGATATTGGAGACACACAATGGGAAAAGCACAAATCTGAGTGTGCCCACCTGCATCAAGATATACACATAAACAAGAAATTGTTATGATGTTAAGGCATTGATAGTTGCAGATTACTGTTACCACAGCTCAGCCTAGCTTGTCCTAATGTGTTACATTTGGTATTCTATAAGACATCTGTGTTATCCAAATCCCTACTCTGATCACTATTCATTGTTTATATTCTTTTCTCAAGATAATTTTTCATAACCATGTTTATTTGTTTATTTGGTATTCTTTGCACACATCAGCATTTTTGCATTGATTCACTTTTATATTGAAGTATGCCAGAGTTGATGAGATATCATTCTTCATTTTCTAATCAGAGTCATGCCTAAGGAAGTGATTTTTGTTGATTGTATTTATTTTCAGCAAATATGAATTGTGATACCTATGTGTGATTTTGAACTGCAATAGAAATTACCTTTAAAAATTAATTTTAAAAATGATGACACAACTGGAAGCAGAAGATTATGGGTAGGAAGACAAGTTATTATGTGTTTGTGAGAGAAGTCACCTAAAATGAAGCCAACCAAGAGGAGAACCTAGATAGCAAGGTTCAGAGAAGGGATTCCAAGTACATAGAGGCAGCATGATTTAATGAGAATGTGGGAGAGGTAATATGGAGAAATGGGAAAGAAAATATGAAGGGGTACTCATGATCAGTACGTCTGGCATAGGGAGCAGAGAGAGTATCAGACCAGAGACTTCTGGAGCAGAGCCATATATAACCTGTCTACTTCACGGCCTGTGGGAATAGGGTGAATTTGAACAATGAGGGGTTTGTGAGTTAATTCAATGTTCCAAGTAACTGAATCTTCTTTCACTATATTAATCCTCCTAGATATATGTATATATTTTTATTTTGTGAGTTAACGAAGATTAGATCCTTTTGAATGATCCTTTCCTGGTAATAACTGAAGCCTGAGTCTTCTCTGGGAACACTGCTTCTCTCACTTTCTACCTACTTTAGAGGCAGGAAGAAATTTGGCAACAATCTTGCTCTCCATTGATTTTCTAAATGAATACTCCTCTACCTATGCATAACATGTGTCATTTAATGCTCTGCTATCAGATTACATAGTTTACTTTTTTCAGTGCTATTGTCTTCTTCCAATTTCCTGATCTTTTTCCTATAAACTTAGACTTGGCCCTTATGAAACAACTTCTCCATCATTATTCACATCCTGATCT
The DNA here is from genome assembly GCF_000001405.40 of Homo sapiens. NCBI lineage: Eukaryota > Metazoa > Chordata > Mammalia > Primates > Hominidae > Homo > Homo sapiens. The sequence goes on from NC_000004.12 coordinate 95,779,816, forward strand.
TGAGTTATTTCAATATTCTTATTGATTCAATTAGCACAGTAGCCTCTCCTCCTTAAATTTTCATCTCTAAAATCATCACTTCTGGTAGTGTTTTGAAGAAAGATTGACGGTCAAGACCAACAGATCTAGGTTTTATATTAATGGAAGGGATCCAGACACAAAAAGTACATACTCTATCATTCCATTTAAATAGAACACCAAAACATACAAAACTCGTCTTTGAGATTAGAAGTCAGAAAAGTGAATGGGGTGTTAGCGGGTATTTGGGGGCACTGCAATATTATCTTTCTTAACCTGGGTGCTTGTTATATGAGTGTGTTAATTTGCTGAAAAGTAATCAAGCAAAAAACCTATTGTATGTACACTTTAATATATGCATTGTATACTTCAATAAAATATTTCTAAAATAAAAAAGATCTAGATTTAAATTTTGGCTCTACCTAGTATTTGTTTTGGAATTATAAGCAAGTTAATTAAGCAGTCTGATCCTCAGTTTCTTATTCCGTAAAATAGTCCCCAAACCCATTCTGGTGAACATTCCATTTTATGGGAAAATTAAAAACACAGAATAAATGGTTGTATTACCACTACGAATACTAGGAAATCTGTCAATGATCATTATTATAACAATTATTGATTTAAAATAACCTACTTCATCAAAACAACCTCTGTGACCAGAACATGAACTGTGTCTTATTTTCAAATATTTAAGCTTTGAAATTTTAAGCCTCTAATATTTCATATGACAATAAACTTTTCTTCAACTCTTTCACTTTGATGCTCCCAGTGCTCCTGTGAGTACAGGCTTTACAGCCAGGCTTTATGAGCTCAAATCCAGGCTTCACTCCTGCATTTGTTTTTTTTGTTATGTGGCCTAGATTCTAGGATTCATTTTTCATTTTTAAATCTCTTGTTACTTGTCCCCAGCCACATCTATTCTAAAACATGGTAGAAATCCTATTTTATTTAACTATGTATCTCTGGAACCGAGCACTCTATAGATAGTCACAGAGAAATATGAATTCTTAGAAGGTATTGGAAGGATTTTTTTTTCATCAGAATCTAAAAAGGGAAAGGTGTCAGTTTAAGGTACTATAATTGTTCCATATAAAATCTTACAAATAAGGGGAGGACCTGGGAAAGGGAAGGCCGCCAAATTCAAATTACGTAATATTTTACAAATCAAGAAGGGTCATTTTCATTACTAACAAAAAAAAAAAAAAAAAAAAGGACACCACTGCTCCATTTGAATGGCATCAACAAAGTAGGGTAGGTTTAGAAATCAGGAACGGAGTTGCTACACTGGCTGGAAACTGTCACAGTTATGATGGAATGTGTATTTTTGTACTTTGGTGAAACAAAAGAGAATTCTCTGATTGATGAGTTGCAGGAAGTAGAGGTTGGATGTCCTAAGCCAGACAACGTAATAGCAACATAAAACTTGAGCTTGCTTCTATTTATCTCTCTTTGGACAGGTGTCCCTGGTCTTTTGTAAGTTGATCATCTCTAGAAAAAAAAGTAAGGAAACAAATAACATCCTTGAGATATTATAAACTTCTTATGGACAAAATACGATTTTACTTGATTCCTTATATGTTCCAACGAAAGCAATAGAAAGTGCTTGATTAATATATGTTGATGTCATTTTGTCAGCGGAATGCAGAGCAAAGTGGGAAATTAGAATAAGCATGTGGCTCAGTCTCTCATCACCATGGCTTTTAGTCCTGGTAGGATAATTAGAATGTAGAAGCATTTGTTGAGAACCTAAGGAGTCTAAGTTACACTAACAACTTTCTAAATGACCTTAAACTGTGAGCATAATGATCTTATATATGCATTTTGCTGTAGCATGTGGTTTATTTCTTCTTAAAAGCCATGATAAAATATTTATGACTTTTAATATTTATATATTAGTCCACAGGTTGAAAAATGAGACCAGAAGCCACCTGCAAGACTGATATTTTTCCATTATTAGAATTCTTAGTTCTGATCAATATGTATCCCTCTATGTTATCTCAGTATCCATTTGCCTTATTTTGTTTATTTAACATCATCTATAGTTTTAAAAGACATTTTGGGATGGTTTATCATTAATTTATCATTTAGCATCATAAAATGTTTATTTCCTTTTAGAAAATATAAATCATTTTCTCTAAGAACATCAAGTGTGTGATTATAAAGTATATGGTACAAAAAGGAGAGCTTATTTTATGAGTGGAATGAAATCAGCACTTTAACTTAATTTCTGTCATAAGATTCCATATGTGTATGTGTTCTCCATGTAAGCTTAATAATATTGAGGGAAACAGACTATTTATGTGTTATTTTGAAAATCTTGTGAACGTAATTTGTGTTTCATATCATATAAAGACAAAATGGCCATAGCTAGCTGTGAATAGATGAGTCAAATTGCAATCATCAAACCAAAAAAAGAAATTTCACCAACTTCCATCTTTCTTCTCACTCCTCTGTGCCAGGTCTCCAGGATCTCCAGTGAGTTCAAGAAGAACAGGACATTTCCAAGGCCTTGCAAAGGGGGTTGCTGTCATTGGATTTCTAAGAAAATTGGCCCAATTATATGTCTGGGCACTTCCCTAGACTGCAGAAGTCAGTAGAAAAGGAGGAGGGGAACAAAGGAAAGATCAAGAGAAACAGGCAAAGAAGGCCTTATTGCTTTGTGGTCATAAAGAGAGAGACATGTTAGTTGGCTTCACGCTTCTCATTGGGTAAAGTGGTTGTGCAATTTGGCTTGATATCTACTCAGCTAACAAAAATATATCTATTGTGTTCTAAGACTGCAAAGCACTCTTTGTGAAATATATGATACTATAATAAGCTGTACTATTTTGCTGGCAATAAGCTTCAAAACAATTTACAAGCATTTCTTTCTTCGTTCAGAACCACCTAGTAGTGATGGAGGGAAAATTACGTAATTCCTCAAGAACCGTATTTCAAATCAAAAGGACTTATTTAGACAATGTCAACTTCTGTTTTGTTTATTTCTTTTTTAAAGCAGCCTACTATATGAAAAAAATCAAAGCTTTGGCAATGTTTCTTTGATAACTGATCTATCATAAAATGGATAAAAATAAAAGAAACAGCCATTTGCAACTGACTGCAATCATGATACAGCTGTTTTCTTTTTACAAGTAAATAAATCAATGAACACATAGTAGTTAAGGCTATTGTGGAGCACAGTTCTAAGTGACTCTCCTACAGACAAGTTCAGCAATTTTTCAACATATTTCCATGGTCCATTCTTAGCTAAAAATCTCCACTTTTTTGCTCCTGCAAGCAGTCATTCAACTAATGAGTTTTATGAAGACCTGTCGTTCATTTGGCCTATACTAAAGAAGTAATTTAACATTGCATAAACAAAAAGAGGCTTTAACAAACACTATAGGAAAAGAAAATTCATCCACCCATAAATTCAGTCCTTTACTCCTTACTAAATGAAATCTTCAGATGATATAATTTCTTTTCCAATATAGAGGCTGTTATTTACTTTTGCGTTTAAAGGCTAGACATTTTCTGCTTCTACTATCTTTGAACATTGCTATAATGTTAAATATTTGAGGAGTTGCCTCCGAACTTGCTGATGATAGGAAATACTTCAAAGGGAGTCTGTTTCCTTCTATAAAGGAAAATAAATCTTAGTTTATGCATTATATTTCACCCTGCTTGCTCCACAATAGACAGAACCTGATATCAAGTAAAAACATTTGGTATGCATATTTTTTGTAAATACTAAGATCTTTGAGTTGTATTTTGCATGCAAAGTTACTGATTCATCCATCCAAATTCACTCACACATTTGTAACAGACATACATAATGTAAACAAGCTAAATTCAGAAACTGAAGCAGAACCTATGGTATTATCTAAGACACATGTAGAAATGTGTCTAGCCCAAATTTGGGACTGGTAATTATAAACAAATTCCTCATAATCACAAAATATCCTGTGTACAAAGGTAACACATATCAACATGCTACAAGGGAATTTTGCCCTGCAAAAATATAACTTATAGAAATATGGGATTTGTGGTTGAAGAAATTGTTTTGAATCTTGGGAGAAAAAAAAGGTTTAGCTGTTATAAGGTCCAAATGTTTCATACAAAAAAATAACTTCTTCCAGCATTTTGGACAAGCCATTCCAAGATGTGATCAAGTAATTTAAAAAATAACTTTATAAGCAAGCCAGGAAGTAGAAATGAAAGCAGTAGCAATAAACTGCTAAAATCTGAGAAATGTTAAGGATCCTTATAAGGTCTAAAAGATAAGAATGCATAATGAATACAAAATTATCTGTTGATAGAGAAGATGATGTATGTAGTGACTGTATGAGTCTTCTGAGTTTACGAAAGTAGAAGCTAATCTAAGACACTTCAATTATACTTACCCATCTGTAATTGTACTTAGTAATATTTGTAATTATTGTCTTTATGTCTGATGAGTTTCAGTAGTCATAAAATGTTTTATAAGTTGATAAATATAATCTTCACATAAAAGATGAGAAATTTAGTGAGGGATTTAATATAAGGGCTATAGTCAAAGTAAGCTAGATTAAGGCATGAAAAAGTAGTATAATATGGTATGATATCTGTCATATGCATAATGAAAAGTTTCTCTGGGCATAAAGTGATACTATATCCTGGAGAATGGTATTTATATTAGAAACACAAATATTCTGCCTGATCGACTTCTAGGCAGGTAATTTTTAACTAGCGTTATACTCATCCTGATAAAGTTGTTCTAATAGAGCCACATTTTAGAGACTTAGTGTTTTTCACTGTAATCCCATGGTTCTGTTGCCATGGCTTTTCCTTTGACTCTTGTTTCCACTCTTACAGAACATAATCGTAATTACTATTTTATATTGATCAGTTTCTATGTACTAAAATTTTTGCTTAATTTTACTAAAGATATCGTGGCCTAGGTAGGATTATAATCATTTCACAGATGAGAAAACAAGGTCTAAAATGTAAGCAATTTGCTCAAGATCACAAAACTAGCATTTGAGAGTCAAGGCTTGAGTCTAGGTGTCTGACACCAAAGCCACAGGGACTCCCATTTACAAGTACTAAGAAACAGCATACACATATGTTGGAAAATAACTGAAGTGTTTTTTTTTTGTTTGTTTTTGAGACGGAGTCTCACTCTGTGGCCCAGGCTGGAGTGCAGTGGCGTGATCTTGGCTCACTGCAAGCTTCACCACCCGGGTTCACGCCATTCTTCTGCCTCAGCCTCCCAAGTAGCTGGGACTACGGGCGCCTGCCACCACGCCCGGCTAATTTTTTGTATTTTTCAGTAGAGACGGGGTTTCACCATGTTAGCCTGCATGGTCTTGATCTCCTGAACTCGTGATCCACCTACCTCGGCCTCCCAAAGTGCTGGGATAACAGGCATGAGCCACTGTGCCTGGCCGAACTGAAGTATTTTTCTGCATCCTATAAACAAATCATGATTGAAATCTAAGCAATGAAACTTTTTTGTTTTTTATGCCCCTGTTACTTTTATTGTATCAATAAAAGATTTTGCTTAGAACTGAATTGGATAAATGGCATTTTGCTGCAAAAGAAAGACCAACTTTTCAGTTCCAAAGAATTTCACATACTCCATGCTGGTATCAGAAGGCTTTCTTTATGGAAAAGAACTATGGGGAAGCCACAGAGAAACAAAAATCTCGTATTTGGAGCCCGCTGGAGGCTTCAGGAATATGAAACAATGACTTCAAGTATAAGATAATTCCTCCCATTGTTCAGTTGGATTTATTGGATTCATGTTCATATGTCTAATTGTATGAGCACCAATTCCTCACAAATAAGAATCTGCACGGACATACAAAAACTGTATCTATGGCAGAAATATTATCACATGCTCATCCTAGCACTGAGCACAGACAGAGGCTTTTAGTAAAGGAAAACTTTTATCATACTGTACTACATCCGTATAAGAGCTATGCAACCCCAATAGAAAGGGATTCCAGTTTGGATTTAATAACAACATCTTAATTTTGCTTTGCAACTTGTAATTAACAAAATGTTCTTATATTTATTATCTCACTTGGATTTTTATAGGAGGTATCTTTTGTATTTTATTAAAAAAAAATTACAGCATGCCTTAGTGTTGTTTCAAGCTTTGCCAGGATTTTTTCTGTAGTGGCAGAACTCATGAGTTTTAGAAATGAGAAATTTAATCACGTTTTTTTTTTTTAATTTGACCCCAGAGTTGTTTTTAATTTATACAGTAAGTTCTCACTTAATTGATAGATTCTTGGAAATAGTGACTTTAAGTGAAATGAAGTATAACAAAACCAATTTTACCATTGGCTAATTGATACTAAAACAAGAGTTAAATTCCCACAACATATTCCTGGTCACAAAGCATCACCAGACTCCTAAATAATGACCCAAAACATTTCTAATATGAAACATTGAAATATATGTGAGCCATACATAAAGAATGATTAACAAAAACAAGTAAGGTAATTGTTTACCTGCCTATTCTAGTTCAGGGTTATGGGTGGCCAGATCCTATCCTAGCAGCTCCTTGTATAAGGTGGGAACCAGCCCTGGCTAGGACACCATTCCATCTCAGGGTGTATTCACAAATACCCACAGTCACTCACACTGGGATTATTAGATATGCCAAGTCACCTGATGTCCATACCTTTGAGATACTTCCTTCTCTGGGTGGAAACCAGGGTACATGAAAAAAACCCATGCAGACATGGGGATACCATGTAAAGTCCACACAGACAGTAGTCCCAGCCAGGAATCTTTTCCTTTTTCTCATCAATGTTACAACAAAATGATGTTGAATGACTTGAATGACATTATTCAAGGTCTTGCTGTAATTCTAAATCATTTTAGTGGTGGCAGGATTCTTACTGAGATTCCTCTGATAGTTGTTTTTTCAGTAGTATAAGTTAATATTCATTTATTCTTAGATTGAATTGTTTAATAAAATGTGTTGAGATTCTTATACGCCAGACACTGTGTTAAGCAGAGTAGGTATAACAGAGGAACATGTGAACAATTTAGGGAGAAATTAATGAATCAGTAGGAGATAAAAAAGTTTCTGTAGAGGAAACTACGCTTTGTAGCTGATGCGAATAAATGATTAGAAGTAAAAAAATAATAATTTATATGAGTCTATTTAGCACTTAGAACCTGAATCTTGTGAAAAAAATATTTCTTATTATTTCCTAAAGGAAAATGAAGGCTTTTCCTCACAAAACCAAGAAGGACGTCTACATGCTAAAGCAGAATGGTTCTGCTTGAAAGGGTGGGAAATATCTTGCCTACTTGCCCTTTTCCGTTTTTCCAGAATTTCTCCTGTGCCATCTGTTAAGAGCTCTAGGGAAGATCTCTACTGGCTACCAACCCTGGATACCATATATGATATGTTTCTATATCCTGCCTTAATTTCCTTAATGGTGAAGATTTATGTCAGTCAGTGTTCAACACAATTTAGTAGCTATGAGAGCAGGAGAATAACTGGTCCAAGTTTTGACTCTTCTTGAACTTGCTGCAATTTTTCCATTCGATCAATATAAGGAAATCATGATTAATGCGTAATGTTTCATTTAATATACATAAGTGGGAAAAATGTTGACCTCTGATGACTGGTTACAAATGACTCGAAGAAAACAAAAATCAATAAAGAAATTAGCTAAATCGATAAAGAAATTAGCTAACCTTGAGTTAACTCCCAATATTTTACTTATTTGCTTTACTCTCAATCTTTTTGTTCTTGGCATATTTACTTATGACCTAAATAGCCAAGATCTTTTTTTTTTTTTTTTTATTTTTTGAGACGGAGTCTCGCTGCTCTGTCACCCAGGCTGGAGTACAGTGGTGTGGTCTCGGCTCACTGCAAGCTACACCTCTCAGGTTCATGCCATTCTCCTGCCTCAGCCTCCCGAGTAGCTGGGACTGCAGGCACCCACCACCACGCCTGGCTAATTTTTAGTATTTTTAGTAGAGATGGGGTTTCACTGTGTTAGCCAGGATGGTCTTGATCTCCTGACCTTGTGATCTGCCTGCCTTGGCTCCCAAAGTGCGGGGATTACAGGCATGAGCCACCATGCCCGGCCAGTAACCAAGATCTTTTCTACATGCATTTATCTCTCCAACTTAGCCTCTCAATCACAATTCCTGCCTGTAGGCATTCGATGAATATAAATCCTACCCAACTCAGAGTCCTCAATAGCACATTTCTTAGGTATTACTCTTTTTCTGTCTTTCCTCCCTCTCATTTATTGAGCAAATATCTTATCCTAAACAAAGGGCTAAACATTTAATATTCATTGTCACATGCAATATGTTCAATATCTCTTTGAAGTAGGTCAGATCAGACAAAGATGAAGATCAGATGAAGCTTTTAGACTTTTGTGTGGCCTAATATTAGGCCTAATAGTTAATCCATCGCAGAACCAGAATTAAAGCTAAATCTACTTGAATCTAAAGTTATATGAGAGACAATTAATTGCTCCCCAATATCCGACCTTCCTTTCTCTATGATAATGAAAGTTTCATATAAGCAACTGTATGAACTGCTTTCTTTGCTCCAAGAAGAGGCCACATGACTAGGTTCCACTTGATGGACATGGTGGTACAACTTCTGGGCCAAGAGCATATTGAGAAAGAAAGTGCTTTCCCTTATTGCTTTCTCCTTTGCCACTAGCTGGAATACAGTCATCACGGAGGGAGCCATCAAAGGCCACTTGGACCTTGAGATCAAAGCTGAGTGTTCAGGATGGCAGAAGGGTAAGTCAGGAGATAAGCCAGGTTCTCAGCTCTATCAGGTTGCCATATAAGTGATGGACTCCCTATCCAGAGTGAACACAGCATTTCTGGTTCGCTTACAGCAACATAACATTTATCCTAACAAAGCATACCATGCTCTAGGACTCAATTAGAAAGTAAGAAGAGGCAATATGAAACAGAAAGCATGTAGTAGTCATCTTTAAGGGGGTCACTGAAATAGTTTGAGATTGTTTGATAATTGTATGTAGTGAGAAGAAAGGGAGGGAGAAAAGGAACCCAAGTTGGGGAACATTCATGATTACCAATAATAATGGCCTTCACAGCAGTATTGACAATTCCACTCTGGGTGAGTGAGTGAGGATTTAAAAAGCAATATGAAATGTCCAAAAGAATTTTCATTCAAGGAATGATGGTAATGTATAACATGTAATGAGACTAAGAGCAATCTGCCTAGAAAAAAAGAAACAATGAGAATAGTCCAGAATGCAGGAATGAAATGAATTAGGTAGGAAAAATCTGAGAAAATATCCTATACAGCCCATTTTCTCAGAGCCTGTTACGTCGTCTCTGGGTCTGTTGCAAATACCTTTTATTTGTCAACTGTTTAGATGAAATCAATTTTAATGAATGTGTTCCTTATTTTCTCACCGACTAATAATTTGGTTAATGATTTCCTTTTTATATGAATATTAACAGTTGCCTTGTTTTTAATGCTTTAACATTTTTCAAAGAAGCTATAACTCTTCAGCATTCGGCATTTTATTGACTTCGGAATGCAACTCTCTTCACTTAAATTATATTTTGGGGAGATTTATTATCATTTTGAAATATTGAGCAGGAAATTTTAAAAGTAGGACAACTATATTTGGTATCCAATACAACTAGTAACGATCAACTGAATTAATGTGTTTTCTAGTTAATGTGCTTTCTAGACTTATAGCAGATCTGATCTAACACCATTAAATTCACTCAAGAATCAAAAACATGGTTGACATCTAAGCCATAGAATTTTTTTAAATGGTGGGAAGTAAATCCAGTAAAGACAGAAAAATGATTGACTTGTTATAATTAACCATCGATCATACTGGAGGGGTATGAGTAAATTGGGCATTCCCTTAGATGAAGGGTTTTCCTCCTTATTAGGAATTCAGACAATGAAATATTATTTCTCTGAGGTTTTTGCTAAGATTGCTTATGCTGTTTTCTTCTCAGATTAAATATCATATGAAACACAGTAATTCAATTATTTGGACTCTACAATAATTTTAAAGGGATGATGTTATTTGAAATACTATAATAATCTGGGGAGGGGAAAAGCATCAAATGCATCAGTTATTTAACTGAAATTACAGAGTCAAACTCTGTAAAACATTTGAAGAGATTTATTCTGAGCCAAATATGAGTGACCATGGCCTGCAACACAGCCCTCCGGAGGTACCCATGTGCCCAAGATATTTGGGGAGAAGCTTGGTTTTATACGTTTTAGGAAGGCATGAGACATCAATCAAATACATTTGAGAAATACATTGGTTTGGTCCAGAAAGGTGGGACAATTCAAAGTGGGGCAGCGGAGGTGAGATGGGGAGGTGTTTCCAGGCTATAGGTAAATTTCAACATTTTCTGATTTACAGTTGGTTCAATTGATTGAGTCTGTCTGAAGACCTGGGATTAATAGAAAGGAAAAGTTCAGGTTAAGATAAAAGAATGTGGAGGTCAAGTTCTTTGGAAGTCTCATAATGGCTGCCCTTAGAGACAATAGATGACACGTTTCCTATTCAGACCTTTAAAATGTGCTAGACTCTCAGTTAATCTCTTCAGGATTGAGAGGGCCTAGAAGAAAAAGATCTCACTATGTAAATAAAGATTCTTTACAGATGCAAATTCTTCCCTACAAAAGACAGCTTTGCAGGGCCATTTCAAAATATGGCAAAGAAACACGTTGTGGAGTAAAATATTTTGATTTTCTTTTTGTCATGTAATGTTATGTCAGAGTTAGGTTAGAAAGTAAGTCATGATATATAGGGTTAAATAAAACCCATCTAATGAGAATTTATGGTTTGCAGGGCATGACTCTCCAGACCCCTAAGATAGGAATTTGGGCAAGATAAAAAAAAAAAAAAAAGAAAAAAAAAACGTTGCTTAGTCCTCAGTTTCCTTGTTTTCTTTTGCCCTCAAGTTTTGGAAGTAATCAATTCCAATGAAAATTCTTTGAAAACTTCCCAACTCATCAAAAATAACAAGCTGTCTTTATAAAACATAGATGCTGAGGACAGTTTGACTATGGGGGAAAGATCCTTCAGGTATGGGGTCAAGAGACCATATTTTGTAGGGTGGCAAATTACATTTTCCAAAAATGAATTCATCAATATATATTCCATTCCACATTTTCTTCTTCCAATGTGACCAAAATGCTCCTCTGTTGAGAGACAGAATCTATGATTCCCTACTTGAAACACAGTAGGAAAGACTTTTGTAACTTCTTCAGTCAATAGCATGCAGTAGAAATGATGCTGCATGACTTTCAGGTCCCAGTCTTAAAAGGCAACAAAACTCCCACCTGGCTTTCTCTCTCTCAGACACATGCCACCATGTTGCAAAGAAGCTCAGGCTGGATGGAGAGGCCACATGTGGGTATTCTGGCTGATAGCACCAGGTAGGCCTGGAACCTAGAGTCAATACTAACTATCAGACATGCAGTGAATTCAAAAAATTAGATTCCAATGCCAAGACTTTAAGTCTTTTAGCTGATGAGGAGGCAAAATTTCCTCCCCAACCTCTCAACTGACCCAAAGAAATTATGAGTGAAAATTGGCAGTTCCAAGATGGCCAAATAGGAACAGCTCCAGTCTACAGCTCCCAGCATGAGCGACACAGAAGATGGGTGATTTCTGCATTTCCAACTGAGGTACTGGGTTCATCTCACTGGGGCTTGTCAGACAGTGGATGCAGTTCACCGAACATGAGCTGAAGCAGGGTGAGGCATTGCCTCACCCGGGAAGCGCAAGGGGTCAGGGAATTCCCTTTCACAGCCAAGCAAAGCTGTGACAGACGGCAGCTGGAAAATCGGGTCACTCCCAACCTAATACTGTGATTTTCCAATGGTCTTAGCAAATGGCACAGCAGGAGATTATATCCTGCACCTGGCTCGGATGGCCCTATGCCCACGGAGCCTTGCTCATTGCCAGGACAGCAGTCTGAGATTGAACTGCAAGGTGGCAGCGAGGCTGGGGGCAGGGCACCCACCAATGCTGAGGCTTGGGTAGGTAAACAAAGTGGCCAGGAAGCTCGAACTGGGTGGACCCCACCGCAGCTCAAGGAGGCCTGCCAGCCTCTGTAGACTCCACCTCTGGGGGCAGACCATAGCCAAACAAAAGGCAGCAGAAACCTCTGCAGACTTAAATGTCCCTGTCTGACAGCTTTGAAGAGAGTAGTGGTTCTCCCAGCCCCCTTTGAGATCTGAGAACGGACAGACTGCCTCCTCAAGTGGGTCCCTGAACCCCGAGTAGCCTATCTTGGAGGCACCCCCCAGTAGGGGCAGACTGACACCTCACACGGCCGGGTACCCCTCTGAACGAAACATGCAGAGGAACGATCAGATAGCAACATTTGCTGTTCAGCAATATCTGCTGTTCTGCAGCCTCCGCTGCTGATACCCAGGCAAACAGGGTCTGGAGTGGACCTCCAGCAAACTCCAACAGACCTGCCACTGAGGGTCCTGACTGTTAAAAGGAAAACTAACAAACAGAAAGGACATCCACAGCAAAACCCCATCTGTACGTCACTATCATCAAAGATGAAAGGTAGATAAAACCACAAAGACGGGGAAAAAACAACAGAAAAACTGAAAATTCTAAAAATCAGAGTGCCTCTCCTCCTCCAAAGGAACGCAGCCCCTTGCCAGCAGTGGAACAAAGCTGGACGGAGAATAACTTTGACACGTTGAGAGAAGAAGGCTTCAAATGATCAAACTTCTCCCAGCTAAAGGAGGAAGTTCGAACCCATTGCAAAGAAGTTAAAACCTCGAAAAAAGATTAGACGAATGGCTAACTAGAATAACCAATGAAGAGAAGTCCTTAAAGGACATGATGGAGCTGAAAACCTTGGCATGAGAACTACAGGACAAATGCATAAGAACCAGTAGCTGATTTGATCAACTGGAAGAAAGGGTATCAGTGATGGAAGATCAAATGAATGAAATGAAATGAGAAGAGAAGCTTAGAGAAAAAAGAATAAAAAATGAACAAAGCCTCGAAGAAATATGGGACTATGTGAAAAGACCAAATCTATGTCTGATTGGTGTACCTGAAAGTGACGGGGAGAATGGAACCAAGTTGGAAAACACTCTGCAGGATATTATACAGGGGAACTTCCCCAATCTAGCAAGGCAGGCCAACATTCAAATTCAGGAAATACACAGAATGCCACAGAGATACTCCTCGAGAAGAGTAACTCCAAGACACATAATTGTCAGATTCACCAAAGTTGAAATGAAGGAAAAAAATGTTAAGGACAGCCAGAGAGAAAGGTCAGGTTACTCACAAAGGGAAGCCCATCAGACTAACAGTGGATCTCTTAGCAGAAACTCTACAAGCCAGAAGAGAGTGGGGGTCAATATTCAACATTCTTAAAGAAAAGAATGTTCAACCCAGAATTTCATATCCAGCCAAACTAAGCATCATAAGTGAAGGAGAAATAAAATCCTTTGCAGACAAGCAAATGCTGAGAGATTTTGTCACCACCAGGCCTGCCCTACAAGAGCTCCTGAAGGAAACACTAAACATGGAAAGGAACAACCGGTCCAAGCCACTGCAAAAACATGCCAAACTGTAAAGACCATTGAGGCTAGGAAGAAACTGCATCAACTAATGAGCAAAATAACCAGCTAACATCATAATGACAGGATCAAATTCACACATAACAATATTAACCTTAAATGTAAATAGGCTAAATGCTCCAATTAAAAGACACATATTGGCAAATTGGATAAGGAGTCAAGACTCATCAGTGTGCTGTATTCAGGAAACCCATCTCACATGCAGAGACACACACAGGTTCAAAATAAAGGGATGGAGGAAGATCTACCAAGCAAATGGAAAACAAAAAAAGGCAGGGGTTGCAATCCTAGTCTCTGATAAAACACACTTTAAACCAACAAATATCAAAAGAGACAAAGAAGGCCATTACATAATGGTAAAGGGATCAATTCAACAAGAAGAGCTAACTGTCCTAAATGTATATGCACCCAATATAGGAGCACCCAGATTCATAAAGCAAGTCCTTAGAGACCTATGAAGAGACTTAGACTCCCTCACAATAATAATGGGAGACTTTAACACCCCACTGTCAACATTAGACAGATCAACGAGACAGAAAGTTAACAAGGATATCCAGGAATTGAACTCAGCTCTGCACTAAGCAGACCTAATAGACATCAACAGAACTCTCCACCCCAAATCAACAGAATGTACACTCTGCTCAGCACCATACCACACCTATTCCAAAACTGACCACATAGTTGGAAGTAAAGCACTCCTCAGCAAATGTAAAAGAACAGAAATTATAACAAACTGTCTCTCAGACCACAGTGCAATCAAACTAGAACTCAGGATTAAGAAACTCACTCAAAACCACTCAACTACATGGAAACTGAACAACCTGCTCCTGAATGACTACTGGGTACATAACGAAATGAAGGCAGAAATAAAGATGTTCTTTGAAACCAACGAGAACAAAGACACAACATACCAGAATCTCTGGGACACATTTAAATCAGTGTGTGAGGGAAATTTATAGCACTAAATGCCCACAAGAGAAAGCAGGAAAGATCTAAAATTGACACCCTAACATCAAAATTAGAAGAACTAGAGAAGCAAGAGCAAACACATTCAAAAGCCAGCAGAAGGCAGGAAATAACTAAGATCAGAGCAGAACTAAAGGAGATAGAGACACAAAAAACCCTTCAAAAAATCCATGAATCCAGGAGCTGGTTTTTTGAAAAGATCAACAAAATTGATAGACTGCTAGCTAGACAGTCTATCAAAGAAGAAAAGAGAGAAGAATCAAATAGACGCAATAAAAAATGATAAAGGGGATATCACCACTGATCCCACAGAAATACAAACTACCATCAGAGAATACTATAAACACCTCTATGCAAATAAACTAGAAAATCTAGAAGAAATGGATAAATTCCTCGACATACACACCCTCCCAAGACTGAACCAAGAAGAAGTTGAATCTCTGAATAGACCAATAACAGGCTCTGAAACTGAGGCAATAATTAATAGCTTACCAACTAACAAAAGTCCAGGACCAGATGGATTCACAGCTGAATTCTACGAGAGGTACAAGGAGGAGCTGATACCATTCCTTCTGAAACTATTCCAATCAATAGCAAAAGAGGGAATCCTCCCTAACTCATTTTATGAGGCCAGCATCATCCTGATACCAAAGTCTGGCAGAGACACACACACAAAAAAGAATTTTAGACCAATATCCATGATGAACGTCGATGCAAAAATCCTCAATAAAATACTGGCAAACCAAATCCAGCAGCACATCAAAAAGTTTATCCACCATGATCAAGTGGGCTTCATCCCTGGGATGCAAGGCTGGTTCAATATACGCAAATCAATAAATGTAATCCAGCATATAAACAGAACCAAAGACAAAAACCACATGATTATCTCAATAGATGCAGTAAAGGCCTTTGACAAAATTCAACAGCCCTTCATGCTAAAAATTCTCAATAAATTTGGTATTGATGGGACGTATCTCAAAATAATAAGAGCTATCTATGACAAACCCACAGCCAATATCATACTGAATGGGCAAAAAATGGAAGCATTCCCTTTGAAAACTGGCACAAGACAGGGATGCCCTCTCTCACCACTCCTATTCAACATAGTGTTGGAAATCTGGCCAGGGCAATCAGGCAGGAGAAAGAAATAAAGGGTATTCAATTAGGAAAAGAGGAAGTCAAATTGTTCCTGTTTGCAGATGACATGATTGTATATCTAGAAAGCCCCATCGTCTCAGCCCAAATCTCATTAAGCTGATAAGCAACTTCAGCAAAGTCTCAGGACACAAAATCAATGTGCAAAAATCACAAGCATTCTTATACACCAATAACAGACAAACAGAGAGCCAAATCATGAGTGAACTCCCATTCACAATTGCTTCAAAGAGAATAAAATACCTAGGAATCCAACTTACAAGGGATGTGAACGACCTCTTCAAGGAAAACTACAAACCACTACTCAACGAAATAGAAGAGGACACAAACAAATGGAAGAACATTCCATGCTCATGGATAGGAAGAATCAATATCATGAAAATGGCCATACTGCCCAAGGTCATTTATAGATTCGATGCCATCCCCATCAAGCTACCAATGACTTTCTTCACAGAATTGGAAAAAACTACTTTAAAGTTCATATGGAACCAAAAAACAGCCCATATTGCCAAGTAAATCCTAAGCCAAAAGAACAAAGCTGGAGGCATCATGCTACCTGACTTCAAACTATACTACAAGGCTACAGTAACCAAAACAGCATGGTACTAGTACCAAAACAGATATAGAGACCAATGGAACAGAACAGAGCCCTCAGAAATAATACCACACATCTATAACTATCTGATCTTTGACAAACCTGACAAAAACAAGCAATGGGGAAAGGATTTCCTATTTCATAAATGGTGCTGGGAAAACTGGCTAGCCATATGTAGAAAGCTGAAACTGGATCCCTTCCTTACACCTTATACAAACAGTAATTCAAGATGGATTAAAGACTTCAATGTTAGACCTAAAACCATAAAAACCCTAGAAGAAAACCTAGGCAATACCATTCAGGACATAGGCATGGGCAAGGACTTCATGTCTAAAACACGAAAAGCAATGGCAACAGAAGCCAAAATTTATAAATGGGATCTAATTAAACTAAAGAGCTTCTGCACAGCAAAAGAAACTACCATCAGAGTGAACAGGCAACCTACAGAATGGGAGAAAATTTTTGCAATCTACCCATCTGACAAAGGGCTAATATCCAGAATCTACAAAGAACCCAAACAAATTTACAAGAAAAAAACAGCCCCGTCAAAAAGTGGATGAAGGATATGAACAGATACTTCTCAAAAGAAGACATTTATCTAGCCAACAGACACAGGACCATCACTGACCATCAGAGAAATGCAAATCAAAACCACAAAGAGATATCATCTCACACCAGTTAGAATGGTGATCACTAAAAAGTCAGGAAACAACAGGTGCTGGAGAGGATGTGGAGAAATAGGAACACTTTTACACTGTTGGTGGGACTGTAAACCAGTTCAGCCATTGTGGAAGACAGTGTGGCGATTCCTCGAGGATCTAGAACTAGAAATACCATTTGACCCAGTCATCCCATTATTGGGTATATACCCAAAGGAATATAAATCATGCTGCTATAAAGACACATGCACACCTATGTTTATTGTGGCACTGCTCATAATAGCAAAGACTTGGAACCAACCCAAATGTCCAACAATGATAGACTGTATTAAGAAAATGTGGCACATACACACCATGGAATACTATGAAGCCATAAAAATGATGAGTTCATGTCCATTGTAGGGACATGGATGAAGCTGGAAACCATCATTCTCAGCAAACTAATGCAAGGGCAAAAAACCAAACACCGCATGTTCTCACTTATAGGTGGGAATTGAACAATGAGAACACTTGGATACAGGAAGGGGAACATCACACATGGGGGACTCTTGTGGGGTGGGGGGAAGGGGGAGGGATAGCATTAGGAGATACACCTAATGTAAATGACGAGTTAATGGGTGCAGCACACCAACATGGCACATGTATACATATGTAACGAAACTGCACGTTGTGCACAGGTACCATAGAACTTAAAATAAACAATACATAAAAAATAAAAATGAAATTATGAGTGAAAATAAGTAATTATTAATGCTTTAAGCCACCTAATATTTTAGCTAATTTGATATGTAGCAATAGCTAACTAATAGATGTGGTAATCAGGCACTTATGGCTACCAACCATGGCTAGTAATAAATTTAGAGGACACCTTGATTTATCTTCTGGTTTTAGAATGGCAATGATAACTCTTCTGGCAGTTCCCAAACAATCATTGTGTTTGTTTGTTTGATTGTTTTTTAAGTTTTAGCTTCTTGAATAAATTTTTAAAATCCAGACTAATATTTTCCTTAAATTATTTGTAGTAGATACAAAAGTTACTGAACCAAAAGTAAATCTGAAGCTATTATTAAGAAATTTATAGTGAGTGATTTGGCGAGAATGTCAGATATCATATTTTTAACACAAATTTTTGTTTTAAGTTCAATCATTTCACTGACCACATTATCTGATCTTTTAGTTTGATATACTTGTATGTATTAGCCTCCAAAATTATGTCTCAGAAAAATAAAATCACATTAAAGAAATGTGTTTTTCTCTAATTATTTTTAAATTGTTTCTATAACATGAGCATGTACGCTTTATTTCGAAAGGAACTAAGCATTGTTGTGGGTGGCAGATGGACAGAAGTGGTAGGTGTGGTTCTGTTTTTAGGCTGAGAGCAGATGCAGCACTGGGGTGTGAATTGTTCTCCCCTTCACAGGCCTGGCTCTGAACATCCTGTGGAACTGTTCTGCCTCAGGGGATTCCCCCACTGTTGGCTTTCCACTGGGGCTTCCAAAAATAGACATTTATTTTAGACATTTAAAGACTTCTGATTCCCCAGGAATTGAAGTTAGACCCCCAATTCATACAGCTGTATGCTTAAAGGCTGAGAAGTCAGTGGCTACTTTCTCTGTATGCATTTTCTTTATCCAGTTGTGATGGGGAAATTTGAATTGAGGAGTCTCTTGTCTCCCTGAACTATTAAAAACCTCATTTCCTTTACAGTAGGGCATGACATCTAATGTGCCATGTTTTCTGACGAGGCATATATTTTCATTTCAGTAAATACTAACGACATTTTGAAAAAATAAAGAATGTGTTTTCAGTGGCTTAGAGACATAACCTAGCCATGGTATGGCTGATTAGTCTTTTACTTTTATAGATTCAAATTCGAGCATTTAATCCATTTGTATCTCTAGTCTATGTTTTCATTAGGCCCCATAAGGCCTCTGTAGAGAAGCATTTAATGATTTAATGTCTCATCAGTATTTGGTGCCCTTTCTTCTCTATTGGGCAGCATGCCTCAGCCTGTAGGCTTTCTTATGCAGCTATGGCCCACATCGTCTCTTGTTTGGCATGCTGAAAGTGCAGAGGAATTGATACCTCTGTCAGCAACCCTCAACCAATGACTGATAAGAGCTGATATACTATTACCCCACCTTCCTGGCTCCCTGGAGAGTTTTACTCTGATGTTATGTATTTTCCATTGGCTCTCAAGTGTCCCTTTGAAGATTAAGTTTAGTCACCTGCGGTGATGGCTGGCTAGATAATGTAGCCCTTTATTAATTGTTTTCCCTTCCTTCTTTCACATCCCTTTATTCCTTTTTTCTTGTGGGTGTTCCCTTCGCCCCTCAAATGAACCACTTGCCCTGAATCCTTGTCTCAGGGTCGGCTGTTGGAAGAAAGCAAAGTATGACATGGGTCATTCTATTATTTGGTTAATTTCAATTTCTTTAATTTCTGTACCTGATTTCTTTTTAAATATATATCTTGTTTTAATAGCTTCTTTATTTTTCTGGTCAACAAGCCCAGTAACATTTACGGGTGTTGTAAGAGACAAAAGGTAGTATCTTTCCTTACCCATTGCAAGGCTCGTGGCTGAGGCATCAATAATAAAAAAACAGAGTAATAAAAGGAAAGCATACAAATTTATTTAATATAAGTTATATGACACGGGAGCCTTCAGCAATGAAGACCACCCAAAAAAGGGAAAATTGTGTATTTTTATGCTTAGGTTTCATGAAGAGCAGACAGCTGTGTACAAGTGATTGGATAAAATAGGGTATAATCTAATGGTAATAACTTGGAGAGGGGAGGACTTAGCAAGGTCTGTTTGTTCAGATTCTTCTCTGTGTTCCTGTGTCTTCATTCCTTTCCTCTGACTATAGGAATGGGCCCCTCTGGAAAAAGGTCTTGTGACCTATTTTATTTTATGTATTTATACTTTTTATTTTCCATTTGCAATACTGTTTATGACCTATTTTAGAGGAAGATCAGAGAATGTTTTCATGACCTGCTTCAGGGGAAAATGGCAGTAAAGAGGTAAGAGAGGTTTTCTTGCTTCTGTTGTCTTCTCAAATGCCAAGCTGCCATATTTTGGCGTCAAATTTCCTGAACCTCATGGTGGCCATTCCTGTAGTTTGGATCCCAGAAGCTGTATTAAAGAACTTGGCAAAGGCTAATTGCCCAGGGGACACTATAAATGGTGCCAAAAGAACATTTCATTGCAAAAATGAGGTAGTAATAATTTGACTTACGGTAAACCAGATGAGTAGTGTATAGGTTTATAAGAAATAAGGTGTTTGGGGTTTGAAGGGAGTGAGATACTCACGGAGGATTCTTAAGTGACAATAGATGGTAAACTCTTTTAAGATGTGTGGGACCAGTTAACCTCTAGTCTTGCTTTGCTAAACAGACAGCATGTGAATTTGGGCTTGAATGGAAGAATTAAGGATAACAATAGAGAGAAAAGGGAGGTAAGCATTGCAATCAACACCTTTTCCTCCACAAAGTACTCAGCATTTTTTCTTAATGAATGTTTAATACAGATTTAAAGAAAGCCACTGTCACGACATTGCCAAAATATTGGCCTTTCAAGTACCCATATCTCAGTCAGCTTCTATTGTCTTCAAACAATGTATTTTGTTGTTCCTTTTTTTTTGAGACAGAGTCTCGCTCTGTCACCCAGGCTGGAGTGCAGTGGCATGATCTCAGCTCACTGCAAGCTCCGCCTTCCGGGATCACACCATTCTCCTGCCTCAGCCTCCCGAGTAGCTGGGACTACAGGCGCCCGCCACCGCGCCCGGCTAATTATTTGTATTTTTAGTAGAGATGGAGTTTCACCGTGTTAGCCAGGATGGTCTCGATCTCCTGACCTCGTGATCCTCTCACCTTCACCTCCCAAAGTGCTGGGATTACAGGCATGAGCCACCATGCTTGGCCTATTTTGTTCTTACATATACCACTGACTCTACTTCTTGAAGTCATATTAAATTATTAATAGAAGTATGTGAGACATAAATTATAAATAGTATCATCAGTATTACTTTTTTCTTTACAGAAAATAGAATATTAAAATAAATCTGTTAACCCTTCTTTCATCAAGACCCATAAAAGCTCTTCATTAAATTAATATTTGAAATTACTGAAATAGAAGTATTAAGTTAAAAATCTCCAGAAAGTTTGATAACTCTTTACCTTTTCTGATGCATCTGGAACTTTCCTTAAAAGGCATGAATATTGTGAACCTTTAGCAGAAGTTTGATTTTTTTTTTTTAATATTGGCTCTTGTTATGGGCTGAGATGAGGCACTGAATGCCCTTGAATTCTCGAACAGAACATGCTAGAAAGAGTAACTGTTTTTGTGAGCTGAAGAGCTTTTGAGTTTGGAGTAGTAGCAAGAATGTGTGTAAAATACAAATAAAATTGTTAACCACTTGATTTCTGATGTGTGTGCTGAGAATTGGTAATCAGTCAAATGTCAACGAGCTGATGGTGATCTGGTCTATGAGGTTCATATCTGGGCCAATGATGGTTTGTGATCATTAAGAAAGAGTCTAAGATAAGAATCTATTAATGAAAGCAGTCACAAAGAAACCACTGTGCTAAACGTCTAATATTACACGTACTCTGCCAGTGTTTCTGGTAAAGTGTCTAAACACGAGAGTGGTCACAGGATTTTTTTCATCATCTACCTAGGACTAGAGTCCTTGCTATTTTCATGTGAAATGACTGGTGAAACATTTTTGATACTTTTTCTTTTTTACTTTTGATCCCATTCTCTTCCATGTAATTTTATTTTTCATTAAAATTGGCTTGCAAAAAGACCATTAAGATACACTGTGTAGCTGTCAATCAGTGGGCCCAGGAAGTTCCTAAATGATAATAGTTGATTCAGCACACTAGCTTATCGGAGTGATCTGCATGGCAGAGATGTCAGTGTGTTGTTTCCAAGCGCGACTTCTACACACAAGGAGTAGCAGAGCATGTCCCTGCCTCTTTTATCTTCCTCAGAAGAGCAACCAAGTGGCATAATCAATTCTTCCAGCCTTTGTATTTCACCTCATATTTACTTTATGCATTGCGTTGAGATTTGCCCTTATTTTACTTCTTTAAATTGTATTTGCCTTTTCTTTTTTATCTTATAAGAAAATAAAATTATCTTAGTGCAAGGTCATGGTGCATTTCATGAAACACTCATAATATTTTTCTTTTCTCAGTATCCACAAACCAGTGAAAATTTGTCCTAATTACTGAAAGATTGTCAGACTCTGGATATACACAAAATAACCTTCTCTGTACCAGGTGTTGAGGGAATTGGAGCTGTGCAGATGGCTTTGACGCAGTGACTTTACTGGTCACTGACATATATTATTGTACCTAAGAGAGATCAAGCATGAGCTTGACATCTTTCGTGTTATGAATATCAAAATCAAGGAAGTGTGGATTTTGTCTTTAATAGATGAAAATAACTCTGTGCTACTTTTGAGCATTCAAAGACTTTTGTCCTTTTGTTTTCAGTTGACATGTAATAATTGTACATATTGTGGGGCACACAGTGATTTTATACATTTATACAATGTCTAATGATCAAATCAGGGGAATTACAATAGCTATCACCTCAAACATTTTTCATTTCTCTGTGTTGAGATCATTCAAAATCCTCTCTTCTAGCTTTCTGAACATATACAATAAATTATTAACTACATTCACCCTACAGTGCTATAGAACAAGAAAACGTTATTCCTACCTAGCTGTGATTTTTTTTTATCAATTAACCAACTTCTCCCTGTCCTCTTCTCTCTTACCCTTCCCAGCCTCTAATTCTGGGATTTCTGCAAATGACCAACCTGGCTTTTTCCTTTGGGTTTGATGCATTTGTTTTGCAAGTCACTTAATTAACAAGATCAGGATACCATTTCTGGGTATTAAAGGCCCTATTAGGAAACTCCAGGTCTTTTCTTTTTTTATTATTATTATATTTCATTTATTTTTTAAGTTCCGGGGTACATGTGCAGGATGTGCATGTTTGTTACATAGGTAAACATGTGCCATGGTGGTTTCCTGCACCTAACAATCCATCACTTAGGTATTAAGGTGCTTTTTTTTAGCAGTCAAATAGGTATGGCCACTACTAGGCCATGGCTTCTTTTGCAGTGACATTTGCTCAATAAACTTTTTTCATGGCAATAACTGAAAAAAGTAAAGTAAAAAAAAAGTGTGAAGAAGTAAATGTCATATTCCCACAATGCAATATAAATGGAATTCATAAAGGCTCAGTGACTCGTAAGACAGGTTAATTAAAGCCTCCCTGTGGCAAGTAGAAGTTAACACAAAATTTTCTTGACCACATTATTTTCATGACTGCATAGAATGAAACCTTTGTTAGAATGTCTGGCAGAGATTGTGATCTAGTGTTAACTTGCTATTGCTACTTAATTTATTTTGGATTATTTTAATCCACTTCCCATTCCAGTAAGGAAAGTTTTAAGGGCTGATATTTAATAGGAAAAAGCAAAGTGTTGCAAAAAGGCAACACAGTCTCTGTCTCACAAAAGTTGCTCTATCAATACCCGGAATACCATCGGAGTTCTGTAGCCTAAATGAAGAAAAATCAGCTGGTGCAGGAAAGAAAAAACATTATAAATTTAGAAGTGTTTTAGGTATGACAATTGTTCATCTCTCTTCCCTGCATGTTCCTACGGGGCCCAAAACATACCTTGCTATTTGGAGTTAACTTTTCTGTTTCCTTAGGACTAAGAAACCAATTGTAATAAATAGCTCCAAAACAGAAACGACATTTAAAAAACGTTGGGGCCATCTTGCATCGAAGTTGGCATTGGGGAGTAAAGCGACAGCTTATACTTCCTCAGTCTTCCCGCTAGCCCCTTCAGCCTGGAGGGGGCTACTAGCTTCTTCCAGGTGTTCTGGCCACAGCTCAAAGGAAGCAAGGACCGAATGGGGAGGTGGTGCTCCCTGTGAGCTTTCTCGATACCGGCTGTTTTTCTATATGCAGTGGGTCAGAGCATTGCCGTTCCTTTATTATTCCCAAACAAGCAAATAAAATGAAAACCAACATAAAAAAGAAAGTAAAACAAGGAGACTTTTACTTGTGTCAAAGAAAAATTATTTTGAGTCTTGGTAAAGGAAAATAACCAAGCTTATTATTTCATTACAACCCTAACTGTGAAATGATGTCAAATTTTAAATCTTGGAATTGGATAACTTCCAGGTTATCTTTTTATGTATCTATCTATCTACTCTTTTGGTACGTGTGCATCAGAGACTGCAGATTTCCTACCCCAGTGCCCTTTAATTTTTTAGCGTGGCACATGATCATGCAAATCAAGATATCATGTTTCCATGCACAGGCGGAGTAATAAAGGAGAAAGGGCTGCTGCTTCTGGAACTGAAAGGATTAGCTGTTTCAGCCAGGGACTCTCTCGAGCAGAGCACCTTTCAGCAGAAAGATAAAGACACTCCATCTTGTTAAAGTCATGACTATTTTGCATTTTACTCCTAGCTGTGCACAACCATACTATTAGGGTTCTGGGATTATCATGAAGCAATTGAGAGGCCAGGCAGAGTTGAATAGTTTAGACCCATAGTCAGAAGAACATGTTTGAGTCTTGCCTCAGCTTCTTACCAAATATGTATCTTTGGGCAACTTAGTTGTTCTATTTGTAAAAGGAGGTGGGTAGCAGTTTCTACCTGACTGAATAATGAATAAATAAGATAGTACCGTACTTGGGATCAGGCGATCTTTCCCCACAAAATGATCAAATGTCAGCTAGCATGTATGTGAACATCTGAGATATTTATCCATACATTTAATAAGAAAAACTAATAAACACAAACATCTCTTTTGCATTTTATCTGAAGATTTCAGGTAAATATATTTCAGTCATTTTTGTAAAATTAAAGTAACGTGGCCGGGCGCGGTGGCTCATGCCTGTAATCCCAGCACTTTGGGAGGCTGAGGTGGGCGGATCACGAGGTCAGGAGACCGAAACCATCCTGGCTAACACGGTGAAACCCCGTCTCTACCAAAATTACGAAAATTAGCCGGGCGTGGTGGTGGGCGCCTGTAGTCCCAGCTACTCCGGAGGCTGAGGCGGGAGAATGGCGTGAACCCGGGAGGCGGAGGTTGCAGTGAGCGGAGATCGCACCACTGCTCTCCGGCCTGGGTGACAGAGAGAGACTTCGTCTCAAAAAAAAAAAAAAAAAGTAGATTTAAAATTACAATAGAATAGAGGCAAAATATTTGTTTTATCCCAGGCCTCACTTGGGAAATTACTACAAGTGCAGTAATTTCATTATGCATAATAAAATATAACAAATCTGAAACCACATTTAATAGAAACTTCAGAGTATTTGTTCAATAAATGTGCATTTAGAATATATATGTTAAAATATGCAGATAATATAAATTTCCTTACAATATCAAAAAATAAAGTTTCATAAAGTTAAAAAAATACAAAATATGGGTTACAGATAAATTAAGGTGCTTATAAACACACCGACTTTCCCCCAATACTTAGACTCTAGTTCTAGATGCAGCATTCTGCAAGTTGGTAATAACATTTATGGTATATATGTATCACATATTGTTTCAATAAGGTTTATATGTTTAATAAATCCTTAAGAACAGAAAGCTTGTGTTTCTATTGCTTACTTAGTTGATCATTTATTTCTAAGAAAAAAATAGAATAAGGACATCAGAAATGCTTCACCAGTGAAAAATTAAAAACCATCATAAAAATTACTTTCTACTGCATGGCAAATGTTAATTTGTGGGCATAAGAGATTTAATATTTGACAACTTTTTGTGTCATTGAATTTTAAAAATTCATATTACTCAAGTAATAAAATAAGAAAAATATCCTACAATAAATTATCTTACTGGAGTTGTGATTAATATTGAGGTGGTATTGGAAGAATTAGTAAGTTAATGTTTCTGAAATATTATTGGTCATAAAATAAAAGCTAAATGGTAACTACAAAGTATTATTTCTCATTTATTATATTTACATGGCTTAGTATCAGTGGTTCTAAAGTATATTGAAAAGTCCCTTTTTAAATTGTAATTATTAATTATCACCAATTATTGATTTGTTATTTAAACAGAACAAGGCTTGAGACAAGTTAGGACAAAAATCTCTGATGAATTTAGATCACAACTTTTCTCTAGAAAGGACTTTTGCTGTTGTTAAATATTGTGAATCTGTTACCCAGGACTCTGTAAATATTTAGGAAAAGATATATTCATTTCAAAATATAGAGATTAATAGTTATTACAATCCCCACATAGAAACAAGCTTAGGAATCATCAGTCCTGAACATAAGATAATGTTAAATGAATCCTCTACTCACTTAAGTAACTCTCCTTTTCTTTTCTGCTAACCTCATCTAAATTTTGTCAGATTTTAATACCACCATATTTAACTCATTTAATCTTAATGTGAGCTTGCTTCTTCCTTGACTTTCTATTACATTCTTTTCTTTTAGAAATTATTCATCACTTCCTAGTGACCAAATCCAATTCCTCTTCTCACTTTTTATCTTCTTTATTCTGCTATATGCAGGATTGGAAGCCATCTCTTCTTAAAATAGTTTCTGGGACCAAGTATCCCTTCATTTGTTCCTTACGACATTCGATCACTTCCTCAACATGTACTCCTCAGAAATGCTTCACCAGTGAAAAATTAAACTCATACAGGGTACTGTATGAGTTAGGCAGTACTCAGAGGGAGCGACGGCATTGGGGCATCAGGCAAGGCATGGGCTCCCCATTCACTCTGGATGTGTATCTGTTTCCATGACAATCATATTCCCATTTAGCTATTTGATAAATATTTATGGAACACCCATATGTGCCACAGGACTCAGTGCTAGAGAAACAGTGATGAACAGTTCAAAATATAGGACTCTCGAGAACTCAAGCAATCCTTCCTTCCTTTATTCATTCGAAAATATAATTTATCAAAAACATATTATATATCAGGCACTAGTTTAGACAGTGGCAAAGCGGGGAAAAAGTTCCTGTACTCATAGGGTTCATGTTATGGTAGGGAATACAGACAATAAAATAAATGAGCAAGGTAATATGACAGAAGGTTATAAATGCCATGAAGAATATTAAATTATGATAAGGTATAGAGAGTGAAGGAGATGGATGGTATTTTCACATAAGGTGGTTAATGAAAGCCTGCTTGAAAGAGGATTTTTTTTTTTTTTTTTGAGGAGAGTTTGATGGAAATTGGAAAGTGAAGCATGTAAATATATGGGAGAAGATCATTTCCAGTCAATGTCATGTGCGCAGACTTGACGTGGGGTTTTGTTTTGTGTGTTTCCCGTATAGGAAGGCCAGTGATCCCAGAGAGGGATGAGGCAGGAAAATGAGATTAGCGTTAGATAAACCAGCTCATCTGGGGCCTTTTAGGCTGCAGTTTGACTTTTATTCCTCCTATGGTGGAAAGCCTGTGGAGAGTTTTAAGGATTCCTTTAACTGTTGTGCAGAAAATAGATTGTGAGGTTGTAAGAAGGCATGCAAGGGGACCAGTTGGAACCAGCATCCTGCTCCAAGGGAGATAGGAAGGTGGCTGAGCTGGGGCAGTGACTATCAAAGTTGTAAGCAGTCTTACTGAGGAGGTATTTAAGAGGTAGATATTGCATAAATTGCTGATGGTTCGGGGGTGGGATTATGTAAGAACCATAGAACATAATTATGACTCCAGTGTTGTTTCTCACTCTAGGAGGTGGAAAAGACTGGAGAGGACCAGATTTGCTTACTCTACTTGCTGAAGTGTAAAAGGCTGAGGACAGCAGGCTTAGGGTGGGAAATCAAGAATTTAGATTTGTTCATATTAAATGTGTGTGGCCAACTAGACATCTGAGTGTAGCTATCAATCAGGTTATTGGATACACTGACCTAGAGCTTGGTGGAGAGTTTGGGAATATAGATCTCTATTCTGGAGTTGTCAGCCATGGGCCTTGCTGAAATCACTGAGAGTGAATTTGATAAAAGAAAAATCCAAACTGAGTCCTGGGCACTCTGACATTTAGAGGTGAGCAGTAGGAGGAAGATTAAGCAACTTGAATGAGATCATTCGGTAATATGTGGTGTCCAGCAGCCCTCGTGAAGAAATTATTTCAAGGAGAAATCTATTATCAGCTCTAGTACTATGGAAAAATTGAATAAAATATGTCTTGAGAATTGTCCATTGGGTTTGGCAACATGAGGTCACTGGTAATCTTATAAATGCTTTCAGAAAAGTGTGGATAACAGAATGAGTGAGGTGGATTTAAAAAGAATTAGAAACAAGGAAACAGAAACAGCTATTACAGATAACTCTAAGGAAGGGTGTTTCTATAAAGAAGATCCTAGAAATGAGTTGCTAGCTGGAGAATATTGGGACACAGGAAAAACAGTTTTGTTAATTTAAGTAGAAAAAGTGATAGGATAATTTTATGCTATAACAAATATGCTGGAGAGAAGGACAATATGAAGATTAAACAGAGCAGATATAACTGTGAGAATGGTGGCACTGGCCATGGAAAAAACAAAGTATATTTGGAGTTCAGAATATGAACAGAAATCTATTTGTATATCTCTTCCAATGACCTTTCTGTCCCAGAGTAAGTCTTCATATTACTTATCTATTGCTGCATAATGAAGCATCCTAAAACTTAATGACCTAAAATTACAATGGTCATTTACTATCCCATAAGGTCAGGATATGTAGGCCAAAAATTTGTGAGGAGCTGAGTTGAGGTCTGGCTCAGTTTTTCATGAGGTGTAGTTAGAGGTCAGCTGGGCTGGCAGTCATCTGAAGGCTTGACTGGGGCTGCAGGATCCATTCCCCAGGGATCCCACTATATGGCTGGTAAGTTGGTGCTAACAAGGTGCATCCTCTCCATGTGAGCCTCTCCACAGGGCTTTTTGAGTGTCTTCACAAGATGGTGGCTGAATTTACCTGGAGCAAGTGATCAGAGACTAAGCCAAAAGCTCCAGTAGCTTTATGAGCCAGAGTTGAACTTCATACATGGTCATATCTACCATAGTCTATTGACCACACAGCCAGCCTTGATTCAGTATGAGAAGGGATTGCTCAAGGGCATAATACCAGGAAATAAAGATCATTGATGGTTATTTTGGAGTTGACTACCATAATCACTAACTTTCTTTGGACTTTCAACCTTTCAGTATCCTCAATTGTTGAATATGCAGATTTTGACATATGAGCCCCAATTCCCTTCTAACTCCACAATTTCATGATTTTCTTCTTTGGCTAGGCCTATGGCACTCAAAGGGAGCATAGTCAAAGAGTAGGGGTAGAGTCTGCTGGAATCTTCTGTTTCCCAGCCTCTTACTAATTTATATTCAGTTCAATGACTCTTTCTTGGAAAGCAGAGTATGTGATGTTTCTGCATATTCCAGTGCACAATAAGTAGCTTTTTGAATAATAAAATTACCATTAGCTGGCTCATAAACTAGTGTTTAAAACAAAACAACCACTCGGACCAAAACAAAAACAAAAATTCCCCTGCTGTTACTTAAGTTGACTTACTGAATCCTGATTAGGAAGTTCAGCCTGAAGAGTCCTCTAGGAACAATATTAGATGACTAAAAGAGTCAAAGTCCCAGGAAATCAACCACTGGTGCTCTAATGGAAGGGCCAAAGGCTTTGGATTAAGAACTGAGTTTGAATTCTGTCTCTTAACCAATTTGCTAAATTTTAGCAACCACATAATCTCTAAAATGTCAGTTTCCTTATATTTAAACAGGGATGATAGTTACTCCTTCATAAGATTTTTTGGAAAGAATTAACTATGTTAACCACATAAAGTGATGTAACATGCCCACACTTGTTAGGTAAACACATAAGAGGTGTTTAATAATTGTTATTTTTTCTCTGGCCTATATGTTATATCCTAATCTCATTAAGTACCACCAGATGGCATAACCGTTGAAAAAAGTATATTTACAATATTTGAAAGAAAATAATATTTTATAAAAGAAACTTAAAATAGCCACTCTACCTGGTGTGAAAGCCCCAAGACAGAATTGGTGAAATTTTCTTTCCTGGCTCATATCTGATCCTTTGTCATTCTTTTATATAATCATTGACTAAACTACTGAATGCCTTCTCTCCAGTTTCTCCCCAAGGCTGGGATGCCTAGGGTGGTGTAATAGAATTTACCAATATCTAGTGTCCTCCCTGCAAGAGAATGATGCTTTTCTACCAGTTGAACTCAAGCGAGCTCACGTAACTTTCTTTAGCCAGATAAATAAGATCTAGCATATCCTGTAGTATGTTCCTCATTTCCTCCACCACTGAAGCTGTGAGTGTTTCATATAATGGGAGTAAAGGTGATGACAATGCAGAGTAGGGCCCTCAGCCTAGGATCACAAACCAGGGGCAAAGTATACACCTTTTTTTCTTTTAACCACTGAGATGTTTGGGTTATTTTTATCTCTGCTGACTGACACATATGGCAAGTTTTATAAACAGTATTTAAGAAAGGGTCTCATTTATGATATCAACTCATTTATGACTATATTACCAATATGAGGGACCAACTGAAAGAGACAAAGTGACTCATGCAGAATGTTAAAGAAATTAGCCAAAGCTTACTTCGTATTTTGAATCTTATATCCACTTGGAGAGTCTAAAAGATTATTTTGTTATTTATTTATATATTTGGTGTTTAGACATGGTCTCGCTATGTTGCCCAGACTGGTTTTGAACTCCTGGGCTCAGGTGATCCTCCCAGATTAACTTCCCTAGTAACTGGGACTATGGGTGCCTGGCTAAAAGATCATTTTTAAAGAAGCATAATTTTGTGAAGTGATCAATGAAGAGATTTATTTGGAGATAGCAGTTGCCTTGCTGTGTTTTGCCGCCCCATCCCATACATTTTCAGGGGAGGGGGTGGATGTGTTGCTACCTTCTGACACTAAGGCTAGCTAGAGAGCTTCAAGAAGGGATACTTGGAATGCCTTGAAATGTATTTGCTGAAGTTGAGAGACGCAAAGGATTGAGGCCTGAATCCTACCTGTGAAAGATGGAATGGATTGCTGATTGGGATCTGACTTATGTCTGGGAAATATAGAGAGCAAGAAAAATACTAATTGGTGGCTGAGTGAGGAGAGCACTACTGCATCGGGATCTGCTGGTCTTAAGTCTTGCGGTTTGTCTGGACAAGAGATGCATTTGTATATTTGGAAATGTAAACCAAAAATAAAATTCTAAGGCCCCCCAATCATCTGAATGGACTTCCTTTTGGGCATGGCACTCTAAAATTTAACCTGAAAGACTGGCTCAGACCATGACAGGAAGTGGGGGCCAAATATGCCTCATTATACCCTCTAGCATTAACATCAACACAGACCTTATGTCTGATAAGAAACATTTACATTCCTTTCTATTGATAATAACTCTTTTGGCCAGGTGCAGTGGCTCACGCCTGTTATCCCAGCACTTTGGGAGGCTGTGGTGGGCGGATCACCTGAGGTTGGGAGTTTGAAACCAGCCTGCCCAACATGGAGAAAACCTGTCTCTACTAAAAATACAAAATTAGCCGGACATGGTGGTGCAGGCCTGTAGTCCCAGCTACTCGGGAGGCTGAGGCAGGATAATCACTTGAACCCGGGAGGCAGAGGTTGTGGTGAGCCAAGATCAAGCATTGTACTCCAGCCTGGGCAACAAGAGTGAGACTCTGTCTCAAAAAAACAAAACAAAACAAAAATACAAAACTCTTTCAACCAATTGCCAATCAGAAAATTTTTAAATTTACCTATAACCTGGAAGTACCCCCTCCACCCTGCTTTGAGTTGTCCTGCCTTCCTGGACCAAACCAATGTTTATCTTAAATGTATTTGATTGATGTCTCTTGTCTCCCTAAAATGTATGAAACCAGCTGCACCCGACCACCTTGGGCACATGTTCTCAGGATCTCCTGAAGGCTATGTCACAGGCCATGGTTACTCGTATTTGGCTCAGAATAAATCTCTTCAAGTATTTTTCATTGTGATGCTTTTTGTCAACAGAACACTAGAGAGAGTCAGTAGGATGAAAGAAGTGTTGGGAGTACATTGTGTGTCCCACTAGATATGGCCTCATGGAAGGGCAAGGAGGTCTCAGCAGAAGGGTCTATAGTCCTGGGATGCCCTGGCATTAAAATGACCACACAGAAGAGAGGTTCATCTGTCAAGATGAAAGGAGCTTCAGGAGAAAGGGGCTCAGCAGAGAACCTAGGAAGATCCCTCAAGAGCAACTCATGAGATGAATGGTCAGTTTTGAATTACCATCATGGTCAGGGTGCAGAATTGCCCAGGTAATAAAGTACTGTATTACCTCTTACTTTTTTCCTCCCTCCACTCTTTTGACCTTGCTAGGTTAAACAACTGCTAGTTTCTTGGGGGAGGAGGTGATCAGGAAGAGAGCGAATGGCAAAGGGGCTGTGCCCCCACCTTCCCACTGTGGGAAAGGGGCAGGGACAAGGGGTGTGTTTGCGTGGCTGTGTAGGGTATGCCCTCAACATTGACTATAGTGTTCTCTGAATTCCCCTGAACTTTTGAGATGGGGCTGAAATTCAGCCAATGTTACATTGGCCAAGTCCTCTCACCTGGCTGGGGATTCTGGGTCTGCTCAGAGGAAAGGGCACTTTTTTCTAATTTGTGCAGAGACACCATATTGGCTTACAGAGACTCTGGAGAGAAGACTAATAGGAAATTAAAGTCAAATATTTTATTCATATCATAAAATGGACATTGTAACTTCCAAACTGAGACTCAGTTCCTGACTATAGTGTCATCTGTAAGTAGGCAAAAAAAAGTCATTTGACATGCTAGAATGATCACTGGAAGGAAGAGGAAGGTTACTAAAATTGACTATATTTTAAAAGGACAGAGGAGGACAAAAGTAAAGTGTACTTGATTATAATCTGTACTGCGTGCTTGGTCGATGTCTTGTTTACATGTAAACACAGAGAAAGATGCAGAGGTACAGTGATGAGAAAAAGAAGAGAGAAAAGAGAGAGGGAGAAAGAGACTGAGCAAGACAGAGCCCTCTGTCCTCTTCACTCTCTTTCCACCTCTTCTCCCCTCCCCCACCAAGGTGGCCTTTTAGAACAATAAGTTACCAAGTTAGTGCAACATTATAGGAGGAAGGTGATCAATATAACCAAAAGAGAAGCTTTTTTTTTTTGTTTTTGGTGGTACTTTGTGTTTTGTTGTTATTGTATTGACATAGTTTTCTTGTATTTGCTCCAATCTGAATAATGTAGGAACCCACTACTATTATGTCAGGATAAAACAACAAATTTATCACTCTAGCCTTGATTTCAAGGTATTACAGAAATATGGAACTATGACCCACAGGTCAGAGTAGAGGACTAGCCAAAGAAAGAGGAATGGAGACCAAGGGGGAAATTGCTCCTAGGCACTCATTCAAGTTGGGTTCCGTCCAGACTCTAAGGCAATCCACTGGGATCAGTAACTAATTACTTTGCACCATCCTCTGGATTCTGAATTTCGCTGTGATTACTGACTGTGAATACTGTTATTTCTGATAATGGACAATAACTACATATTCTTCTAGAAGTTTCTGATATAGATACATAGATTAAATAGATATAGAGTACGGAGATTTAGATACAGATACACAGATATTTTTAAGGCACTTATTCACATTTGCTTTATTTCTGTTTTCTCTACCAAATAAAGCAGTGTTCTCTTCAATTCAGTTCACCGTTGAGTTTGTGATACTGCTGCGTGAAAAATGAGCATACACGAGCAGAATTTAGTTAGGAGCATGGGTTGCAATCAGCTAAGGTGGGCAATCAGTTTCTCTGGACCCATACCTATTTGCAAAAGGCAAACTCCTCTATTCAAATTAGGATGCCTCGGTGGAAGGGAAGGTTGAAAATGGGTACCAAAGAAGATTCTAGGTTTTATTATGTCTGTTGCTTTTAGAGTAGAAATTTGTGATAGGAGAGAAACAATATGTATACTAAACATGTGAAAAAGTAAAATCATTTCAGATTTGGGATGGAAGGAGAAGCTGAGGAATCCCCTGGCAGCTGAAATGAGGGAAGATGGAGATAGATTTGGAAGGGAAGATAATGACTTTACTGCTATATTGAAGTGCTCTGGAATCTTAAATTATGTATATTTCTATAAGTTTGACTTCTACCCATTGACAGAGTGTTCATACCTATGTGTCCTGTTAGTTTGCTCTTTTAGCTGGTTGTTTATCTTTTATTAAAATATCAGGTGGCTGACAGTGTCATAGTCAGTGAAGCCTCAGCCAAAAGCCTGAGTATATTTTCAACAGATGATATTTAGGAGATTAAACAGGAATGGGCATGGGTCAGTGATGAGGGGTCTACCTCACCTATAGGAATGGCATCGGTGGGAGCAGGGGTGCTACCGATTCAAGTGAGGGCTGACAAGGCAGCACAAACTTAGAATCTTCCAGGCTTATATTATTAATCATAGTATCTGATCTGGGGGCTGGGCCTTTGTGACAGGAA
Source organism: Homo sapiens (assembly GCF_000001405.40). Lineage (NCBI taxonomy): Eukaryota > Metazoa > Chordata > Mammalia > Primates > Hominidae > Homo > Homo sapiens. Next base: position 95,814,317 of record NC_000004.12, read on the forward strand.
TCTCCTGGCAACATACTTATACATAGGAGTCAGGCAGCAAGCACTTTTTTTCTTCCAGGAATTCACTCTTGTTTGAAGCAAACCCAGTGGCATTGACTATGGGCATAATAAATACTCCCCACAGAAGAACTGAGATAGAACCTAGGTTGTGAAAGCCACAGCAAAAAGCCTCAGCTTCCTAGGAATTTTCTTATCCTAGCAGGGGAATTGAAATACTAATCAGTGATTGGGAAGAAACCCACTTCTCTGGCAGGTCCTCATTACTGGAAGGATGGGAGAAAGAAGGGTGGGTAACAAATGCTTGTAGCTTTCTGGGTTTGGAGTAGCCTGGGCTTGTGAGATTAATTCCAAAATCCATCTACTCTCCAATGTTCCAAGTATGAATATGATTATCTCTGAAAATTCTGAAAGACAAAGGCTGAAGTTTGGAGTTTGAGCATATGCATTTTTTTTTTTAATACCTGGAGTTGAGCAGGTCTAGGAAAACCAGGAAGATACAGGGTACATCAAGGATTGGGCTGAAAAATAATGTGGGTAGTATCCAAGGACATGTTTCCTACATTTTGTACTGGAAGTTGCTGAAAAGAGTGCCAGTTCACACAAATGCAAGAGCCAAATTCTTAAACATTGAACTTTGAAATGCTCTGGGGGGGAAATCTCTAAAGATACTATTTTCTAACAAAGCACAGCCTTTCGATTTTTAACTTCGATCTAAGAAAGGGGCACAATGGGTGAATAAGACTCCTTCTAGCCTTACTTACAGTTCCCAGTAGACAATTCCCCACCCCACCTTGTGAATTACAAAGCAGAACTTTCCCCCATCAATTACCAATTAGATTCAGCAACAGACTCGCCAGAATAGAAATGCACTTTCCCCCTTTGTCCTTCACCAAGGAGCTGAGAGGTCCTGTACAGATAAGTACCAGATGAGCTATTGAGGAGTACTAGGCATTTAAAGTCATACATGAGTGACTTAAAGGTTGCTGATATTCCACATTTTGGCTTTACATATTAAAAAACATTTTAAATTTATGTGCTCAGAAATTTTTCTTCCAGAAACACAGCTTATTTGGTTGTCCCTTTAAAAACTTTGAGCAAAAATATAACAACTCAATCAGTACAGCACCCATTTCAGTCTAATGTTCTGAATCGCCAAACTAGGAGAACTAAGTGTGCTTTTAAACTTGGAAAATATGTTCTCCACTATTTAACCTAAATGCCACTATAATTATAACCATCTCAAACTTATGCTTATAATTCTTTCTGCAAGATATACAATTAAAATAAAGTGGTAATCTAAACAAGGAAAATAAAATGGAACCCTGCAATTACATAGTCAGACTTTTCTCATGTTAGCACGGAAAGAAGAAAGGCATTATTTAATTAAAATACCAAATGCCATGAGGAAAAACCAAGTATACCGTAAGTACAGAAGACAGAAGACAAAATCACATGTCTAATACTTGACATTATGTATAAATATGAATTATACCCCAAAGAAATACTCCTATTCTCCATGGTAACCATTAGTGAATGTATTTGATATACAGCATTTAAAAACCTTAGCATGGGGACAAAAATGTTGCCTGCAGCTGAACGGTAGCTCCTTTGTCAGCCAGACATGACCTCCTTGGCACATTGGATCCACAGCCTGTTGTGTTAAGCCCAGCCTGAATCAGAAGATTCATTTGAGCATTTGAGATTACAAATTATGATTGCAATACCATCTTAAAATGTCTTTTGTATTTCCATTACCCAAACAAGAGCAGCATATTGAAAACAAAATAAGTCTGGAAGTAATATTAAATAGTCACTTTTAATCCTCTTAACAATAATTATCTGTAGGAATAAGCCATATAAATTTAAATATTAATTTAAGAGTGCTAGTGAAGTTTTTGCTAGACTTATAAGCTAGCATTCTATTGATATTAAGTTGTTATTATAAGTGAACCTCATGAATTATAACTTCCTGATTATCTGCAGGGGAGTCTGCCCAAACCATTGCCAATTTGTAGTTAATATTTATTTAGTAAGTAAGTAGAATATATTCCATTTCTAAAATTACCATGTTTGTACCATAAAATGAAGAACCCATGTATATCTGAATATAAGGAGTAAATATGAAAAACCTTATTCAATGTATCAATAAGAATCATGACTAATAGGAACAACTTATTATTGAGATAAATGTAATGAGCCTGCCCAGCCATATAACCCATATATATTTACAGATTTAAAATATCTTAAAAATGTTAATGTATTTATGCCATATATACTTATACACACAAAAGTGATATCATTAATTACTTCATTTAAAAATATTTACTTATAAAGATGCAGACTATCTTACACTTATCACGTTAAGCACTTGAATACAAACATAATACACTAGGCTTTCTGTAGGATAAAAGGAAGCTATAAAAACAAGATTCCTGGCTACCAGCAGAATTTTAGGCTTCAGTTGGAAATACAAGATTCTGATTTAAGAACAACTGCTTGTATCCTGCCTACAGTATGTGACTGTGTTGATCCTCTTCTTCCCTATTGATATCTTCTTTGGTTTATAAAGCAATATATCCTTCTGCTGTAGGATATTACCCCTGTCATGCATGGCTTTTTTTTTTCTTTTCTTCAGGATTTTTTCTTCTTTTCATGACCTTTTTATATTAGTTGTCCCAAGTTTCTGGCCCCAGTTTTCTTCTCTTTTTTATGGCACACACTCATGCAGTTTCCATGCCTAGGCTGTTAAACTCATGTCTATATTTTCAGCTCAAATCTTTCCGTTGAGACATGATGCCTACTGGAAAAGCTAACTGCTTCACAACACTTCAAACTTAATATGTGTAAAATCAAATCCTTAATTTTACTGACCTTTTAGCCAGACACTTTTCCTTCCCTTTTTATTTCCTATCTCAATTAATGAAACCACTATGCACCTAGCTGAATAAGCTGGAATCATGCAGCTTTGACATCACCTGCCCTCACCATTCATGCACCATCTCTCATCAGTTTTGCATCTTTGATGGTTCTCATTAGTGTCCATTACTTCCCATCCCCTTTACCAGACAGCCTTAATTAAAGTCTTTATAATGTCTTACTTGGCTGATTGAATATTTTCAGCCTTCTAGGCTGTTCACTCCAAGACATAATAATGCCAGAATGATCTTCCTAAAATGCAAATATTATCATGCCACTTCTTTGTTTTGCATATTGTGTAGGTCATCAAATCTTTAAGGATAAGTCCAAAATTCATTAGTCTGTAATAGAAACCTCTTCATATCCAGTTTGCAACTCTACCTTAATTTCTGGCCACCCAGCATCTTCAACTCTACTTCCATAAATACAATGTTACAGTCCCATATACACTGGCCTCCATGTCTTTGCACACATTCCTCAGTCATCTAGTTCCCATTTCCTTTTCCACCCTCATTAACTTTCTCTCTTTCCACCTGTTTTCAATACACACATATATACACACCATTGAATAAATACATAGATAAATACAATTATTTCCTCATTTTCTTCAAAATTGGCTCAAAGTCTTAGAGAAGATTATCCAGTGACAAAACCACCCAAGACTGGAGAGTCTATTAAGCACTCACACAATCGGGTGCATACCTCCTCTAAAGCCATTTTCATAGTGAATATTAATAAACTGCTTTTATTTTTTTACTATACCTCCCTCTAAACTGCAAAGTTGTTAGAACAGTTCTTGATATGTAGAAAGAGTTCACATTGTTACTTCTAATTATTAAGCAGAAGATCTTGGTATAAAAAATTTTTTAAAAACAGTTCTATTTAAAATAGATGGCAGAGATCAAGGCGATGATGTTTGTTAATTTTTATTGAAGAAAGAAATGATTTTGTTTTAGTTTCAAGAGTAACAAAGTAGTAGCTCTTTATCATATATTCAGCACAAACATGTAAGTACTAGAATAAATTCTTTTTTTCCTTTTTTTTTTTTTTTTTTGATGGAGTCTTGCTCTGTCGCCAGAGCTGGAGTGCAGTGGTATGATCTCAGTTCACTGCAACCTCTGCCCCTGGGTTCAAGTGATTTGATTCTCCTACTTCAGCCTCCTGAGTAGCTGGGACTACAGGCGCGTGCCACGATGCCCAGCTAATTTTTGTATTTTTAGTAGAGACAGGGTTTTACCATGTTGGCCAGGATGGTCTTGATCTCTTTACCTCATGATCTGACTGCCTCGGCCTCCCAAAGTGCTGGGTTTATGTACTCGGTGAATAAATTCTTTTCAAATTGACATTAATTTATATTTTATATTTAAAGTTTATTATAAGCAATAATTTACATATACTTCTTAAAACTTTAGTTGGTAGCTTTGCTCCTAAAACTTGTTAGTAGCTCCAACTTATTAAAACTAAAATCCAAAGTCTTTGCAGTGTTTAGTGCCAGCCCATTCCCTCTCTGATTATATCTCCTTCCACATAGTATCCTTTCAATACATGTTATAGAATGAATAAACTTTTGAATATATTTTTGGAATTCTCAGAAAGGCTATGTATGGAGTTGTATTGAGGCATTCCTCAGATAAAATAATTGCTCCTGTTCTCCAAGGATCTCATTTGCTGCTGGTTTCAGGCATCTATTTAGCATGATGCTGTCTTAGGTATTTCCTTTGCAATATAAAAATCATCTCAAAACAAGAATTCCAAAATACATGTTTTGTAAATTTCCTGTGCACTATGTAATTACTATGGAGAAAGCATATGTTGGGAATGAAAATACTTTAAGTTTAGACCCTAAATTTACGGCATAATTATATGTTTGGTTTTCTAGAAACTGATAAAATGAATATTGAAGGCTATGTCAGGTATTTATTTGAAAATAGCATTGTACACTTTGGGAAATTCTTTATTTTAGGCTAATCACTTAGTAAAAGCATAAATTCTGAAACTCCAAAAGGAATATTGCAGACAATTAAGATAAATTTAGTTAGATGGAGGCAAAAAAAAATTAACCGTGGTCTTGCTATGGTATACTAGATATATTGAAATTATAGTCTCTTGATTAAGCATAATGACTTTATTCTATGAGCTTCATTAACTAGGACTTTGCTATACATATTGTATAAAGGTATACATTGTTACCTGGTTAATCACTGTCTCTTGTCTTAAAAATAAAATAAATTTTCCATCTCGATTAAATGTTTAAACAAAGAAATGTGCAATATCCAGTCTATTTCTTTATATTTCCTTTGGAGTCATTATATCACTTATGGTTTATTTTTCCCCTTTTTGTCAGCATCTATGTTCTTTTACGAGAAGGACCTGTTCTCAGGGTGGTAGTGTGGAAATGAACAATTAAAACAAGCCTTTCTTACTTTAGTATTTACTAATTAACTGAACACTTTCATCAGCAGATCTATGAAGCTTTCTTTCCTAAAGTTTTAAAGACTAGGCAATGTGAAAAAGAGACTCATGTGCAGTATGTTCTGGATGGAACAATTGGATTTGTTTTCATCTTATATGCAATAACATGGTGTAGAAATCAATGAGGAGTGAAAGCATGGGTAATTAAAAGACGCTTCATTTTCATTTTATATGAAATGTTCTTATTCTATTAGAAAAATCCTGCCAATCTAACAAACGAGCAAAACACACACACACACACACACACACGCACATCATGTGAATTAGAAAGGTGCTCATGTTAGTGCAAACAATGAATATCAATTCAAAATAAGCTTAATGCAAATAAGAATCATGCAATGAAATGATTCACTTTAAAACAAAAAATGTCAACATGCCTTTCCCTTATTAAAGCACTTCAGCCTGGCATGGTGGCTCACGTCTGTAATCTCAGCACTTTGGGAGGCCAAGGCGGGTGGATCACGAGGTCAGGAGTTCGAGACCAGCCTGGCCAAGACACCAGCCTGGCCAATATGGTGAAAACCCCGTCTCTACTGAAAATACAAAAATTAGCTGGGTGTGGTGGCAGGAGCCTGTACTCTCAGCTACTAGGGAGGATGAGGCAGGAGAACCGTTTGAACCTGGGAGGTGGAGGTTGCAGTGAGGCGAGATCCCACCATCAAACTACAGCCTGGGCGACAGAGCGAGAGTCCAACTCAAAACAAACAAACAAACAAACAAACACCAAAAAACACCAAAAAACACCAAAAAACAAAAAAACACTTCAGTCGTTTACACTCTCAACATCTGACTCACCAGCCTCCTCTGCCAGTACTTCTTCCACTGTCTGGGCTCTAGGCTCAAAGATGTTTTCTCAGTACTTTAATGGGCTATGCTCCTCCCCACCATCTAATATGTTTCCTCTGCTTGAGATACAATTTTTTCCCTCTTTGCTAATCCAATTTTTGCTCATATTTCAAAATTCCAAGTGAAGTATGAGAATTCTTTTGGATCACCTAGAATAGTGGTTAGCGATTGAGGAAATTGCCACCACTTAGAAAATACCTAAGAACATGCAGAAATATTTTTTATTGTAAGAGTGACTCCAGGAAAGTGATACTGTCATTGAATGCTCAGCAACCAGGAATGCTAAATTATCCACAAAGGGAGGTTGATTTTGCACAAAAAATATTTTCTTTCAAAATGCAAATAATGATCCCCCTTGAGAAATAATGATCAAGAGAATAGATCAAGTCCTTTATCAAAAGTTCTAGTAGCTCCCTGATCTCTACTTTTATTCCAATCTTAAATAAATACATTTATTAGTTATTTAATATTAGGACAAATAAAATTATTTATTTTGGCAGGGATCTTTATTCCTGATGTTTCCTTCCATATGAAGAGAACTCAAATTTGTAACATTCTTCACCTACACCGTCCCTTTATTCATCCTCCCTCATAGGAGGGAAAGAACTTATTTGATTTGTAAATTTGGAAAATATAACCCAGGAATCCATTTAGCTTACTTCATCTCCTTTAATGGGCTGCCTGCCATTCCACTCTGCCTTGTGGGAAACTTTACAGTATTACTTGTGTCTTGGTGGGTAAATCTGCCTATTTGTGGGGTAAGATCAGCAAGTGAATTTGACTTTCTCCCTCAACTCCATCTTCTACCAGTAATAAATGTGATATTTGACTATCATTTAACATTCCTTTTTAAACTCTCAATTTGTTAGTCCCCCTAGGAAATCTCAACATTTTTTTAGGCTAGGCAACTTGTTAAAAAATAAATCACAGAGAGGAAAATGTCAGGGAGCAAAATAAAAACACCCCAACACTGGCCAACGGGCAGGCACAGGTAGCCTGGCAAGCAGAAATGAGAACACAGTGACCTCAGCAATGGCACAGCCCTTAACAAAGGTAAGAAAATCAGGCAGACTATGGGCCTCAGCAAAACTGCTGGTTTTTAATGATGTAGATGTCTTCAAGGTTCACGATGTTGCAGGCAGAGCTTTTCCTAAACAGGCACAGGTGAAGCAAAGCTTTATGTGTGAGAGAAGACTTGGTAAGTTGCACTAGGCTGGTTCTCCAAAATTCCATTCTGAATTCAGGGCCAATAAAGAAGATCTGAATTGACAATTTTTAATTTAATGTAGCTTATCATTTGGCTCAGGAATTGAAACTGGTGAAATAATTGCTGGGTGTGGTTCAGTGATTCGCTTACTATAACTGGGCCTGCAAGTGCTGCTTCTGCTCTGTTGGAACATTCCCAAGAACTTTATGAAAATCAGAAATGGAGAAATGGCAAAGTCTGCAGAAGCATGTGCCTGTGCAATTGAAGCATCAACAGCAGCTTCAATACAGAAACCTTCAATTCAGCTCAGAAGGTGGCGTATATGCTATAACAAATACAAGTACAGAATAGAAAACAATTCTTTGGGCACAGCTTTCTTAGTCCTTAGGAATTCTTTAAAGAGAGTCAGTGGCAGAAACAACTGCACACAGGTCTATGGTGCTGATTCACAAGAAATGGTGGTGGCTATGTTACTAGACAACCCTCACTGCAAATTCTGGATCGGATACTGAGAGGAAATAGAAGTTAAAAGATTTGGAAATATGCTGATTTGAAAAGAAAAACACACATTTAAGACCACTTGACTGTGTCTATCACCATTTTTTTTTTTTTTTGAGACAGGTTCTTGCTCTGTAGCCCAGGCTGGTGTGCAGTGGCATGATGTTGACTCACTACAGTTTCAAACTCCTGTGCTCAAACTATCTGCCCACCTCAGCCTCTAGCGTAGCTGGGACTATAGATGCACACCACCATACCTGGGTAATTTGTTTTTGTATTGTTTTGGTAGAAACAAGGTCTTGTTATGTTGCCCAGGCTGGTCTTGATCTTCCAGCCTCAAGTGACCCTCCTGCCTCGGCCTCCCAAAGTGTTGGCATTACAGGTGTGAGCTACTGTGCTCAGCTTCTGTCACCATTTTTAAACTTTCTGAGATCTGCTCTCTGAGAGAGAATATGGTAGACATAGGAAACTCCCACCCGCCCCACCCCCAGCCCTGATATGTCAAATGTATAGTGTGAAAATTAAATAGCTAGAAGTTTCTGTCAAGTTAAATTTACAGGTTATGTATTCTGGAAAACTTAACTAGTATTCCGATGAGGCTAAGCCCCAATACTTTTCCCCATTTACCCTCCTGTTCAAAGAGACACTTGAGGTTCTTCTGCATTGTTTGGCCAAAATTGAGGGAAAGGTTTTTCACCTTATCCTCATTTGTTTCATATTTTATTATATCAGAGTTTCTGTCTTCTTTCAATCACATTGCAAATCCTCTCATGTGCTGCATGAGAAAGATGACTGGACATAATTTGGGATGAGTGAAATTAGCCCTGGTAACAGAGCAGCCTTAGTGTTAATTTAATTTGTTCTGTGACAAACTGATAATCAGCTATACTAAAATTCATTCTCTTGTTATTCTATAATAACTGAATTCCCTATTTTACTTATGTGCCTATTGGAAAGACTACACTTTCCAGCTTTCACACCTTTCATGAAGTGTGGCCTTGTCACGAATTAATTGGCAATGAAATGTAAGTAGAAAGAACATTGTGTGATTTCAAGGAAAACTCTGAATATGACTTTCATCTGTATTTTTTTTTTGTCCTTTCCTGTTCTCCTTCCATCTTGCTCCCTGAGAAGCAGATGTGATGGCTGGAGATCTCACGACCACCTTTAGGTTTGAAAACAGGGGCTACGTGTGAAGGATAGAGGAGCAGAGACATGGAAGGAGTCTGGATTCCTGATGATGTGTTCTGTTTGAGAGAATGGAAGTTTTATTATACAAGCAACCACTTAAGTGAATTTTATTTAGCTTGCAACAAACCTAACCCTAACTGATAATGTCTAAGTCACTTCAGAGCCTTTTAATGACAAAAGCCGAGTAAAACCCTGAAGAGTGTCTGGGGAATGGTCTAATAAAGGTAAGATAAAAACTACTTTAATGAAGTTGTTTTTTTTTTTCTTAAAGGAAAAAGTCACTGTTGACCTGTTGATAATAGATTTGATGGTAAAGCCCGATGAGTTAGGCATTAAAGAAAAAAGAAAAACAAAGCAAAATGAAATAACCAAAGAAAACCCATAAGACAACGATTCCTCCCCACTGTAGCCACATCCTGCCCCTTGGTGGGCATTCATTAGTCATTCCTAGCCTCTCTCTGCCCTTCTCCTCATTCCATCCAGGGAAGCAAGGTACAAAATGAGCTTGCTTAGCTGAGCTCCCCACTTCTCTTTTCTTTCTCTTCAGAGTGCTACCTGTAGAAAACCAGAGTCTCTTCTGCTCCTCCAAGAAGAAAGCTATTCCATGACTGCATTTGAGAGCTGCCTAATTTAGGGGTTCAGTTAGCAGACCTATTTGACTTGTATATCCTGTAACTTAGCCGTTGTCAGTAATATCGGTGATATTTGCTTTGTCTTCATTTTCTATTCATTTTCCATCTTTCTCAGTTAGTTTAGAACTTAGGGAGGGAAAAACGTTGCTGTTATTTGGGTCTGCCTCAGAAGCAAAGATCTGATACAAATTCAAAAGTTTTGAGAATTAAGGCCAGAAGTAAAATTTTAGAGAGTTGGCAGAATAAATAGTAAAGAACCCAGCCCAGTTCCTCTCCCACTTTGTAAGTACCTAGGCCCCAAACAATCCAAGTGGGGTGTTTCAGAAACCTGGTAGGACACAGATGCCAACTAAATGGGGTAAGAAAAAGAGAGACAAATAGAGACACTAGGCTGGATGCAGGGTCCTGATGTCAGTAACAGAGGGCAGTTACCACCCCTATTCTGCAGAGGCAAGGGAGGGAGTACTTACAGGGACCTGCCATGGACAATGCTGTGTGGAGAGAACTGTATGACGGAATATGCCCTTTGCTCAAGAGAAGCTGCCAGCCTTTGGACACCCTGTAGGGAGGAACTTGGGATGTAAGCTCCCTGTGTCCACCTACCAGAGCTCATTATTGGCCAAACCCAAACAGAAGTCAGAAGGCACTGGAGCCTTCTGATATATGCATGTCAGTGGATGGGGGCCAGGACAGGATGGAGAAAAGGGTGGTGTGGAACTGGAGAGGCAGATAACCCCAAAGGAGAGAAGCCTTGAATTGGATACATTTTGCTATTATAATGATTGGCCGTTTTACATTTTGAAATGAGGCTGTCTTTTAAATACAAGAGATTCAAAAAATGATTAGACTAATTTGACAAATTATCCGTGAGCAGGAAAAGAACCAGTCCACAGATTGTGCCCAATGGAGAAAATGAATAAAGTTACATATATGCACCTTATTGAATTCAGTTCATTCAACGAGATGGATACAAAGGTGTATATTGGGGTTGCTCAACTTTGGCACTGTTGATGGTTTGGATTGGATGATATTTTTTTTTTTTTGATAGGGAGGTTGTCTTGTACATTGTAGGATGCTTAGCAGTGTATCTGACCTCCACCCACTAGATACCAATAGCACGCCCCAAGTTGGAATAAATAAGAATGTCTGCAGACATTACCAAATGTCCCTTGGGGGAGAGAATCACCCCGACTTGAGAACGACTGAGTTTTACCCCTCTCCCTCTTCTTAGTAACAAAGATAACTGCTTCCTTTCTCCCTTTATATTGCTCCACTTCATTAAACATTCATTCGTTCAGCAACCAGTCAGAACTGGGAGGCAGATGATAGGGTTATTTGGCCCAGCATGGAGGTTTTATAGCATTTGTAGTGTCTCCTAATATAGGCTTCTTTTCTCTTTTCTTTCTTTTCTTTCCCTTGCTTTTTTCCCCATGAACCATTTCCCAAGCTAGCTTGAGAGAATAAAAAAATGACCTTAGTAGTAAAAAGTTTGGCTTTCCAGCCCTAATACTCGGGTAGGTCTACAGTAGTGAAAGAGTCCGCATGTTTCTTTCTCTTTTTTGAGGTCCCTACCCCTCAGCTAGGATGCTTAGATTATGATTTAATTGCTCACTGAAAAGCCACCAAGGATTTTCTTGATCTACTGGGAACCGATCCAAAGATGCAAATTTTATTTTATTCCACTTGAGAACGAACAAAGTTTCAGAGACCCATTTTTTACAAAGGGGATACTTATGACTAACCTCCTAATTAAAATATTTTTGGTTACTAAAATGTACTATTTATAATCCAAAATTAGCAAATCTCTTCCTGAAGTCTCTGAATCAGCATTCGAAGTGCACCTGGTGTTCAGTAGTTGATAGTCTTCCTTTCTATTACAAATTACTCTTGGTTTAGCACCATTCTCGGTTTAGTGTATTGTCTCTTGTTTTACTTTATTGTCAATTCTATGAAGCCATGTAATTTGCATATTTTTGGCCCCAAATCTTTTAAGATAAATATGTATTGCATTTCAAACACAAATTAATGATGTTGAATTACTAAACCAAATGTATATACAGTTCTCCTTCAACATTTGTCCCATATGCTTCCTCTTCATGCATAACTGCATGTTAATTCGTGCTCTTTTAATAACAGCAAATATATGCAGTAAACTTTCTGCATAAGTGTTGAGCTTACAGGACACTGAATATAATGCAAAGTACTACTGATAAGTTGGTTGTCTTCTTCTGAAAAAATAAATGATTATTATTTCACATATTATCTTTCCTAATATTTATTATCTTTGGTTTATTTTTTATTATTTTACCAGGCAGTGCAATTTCATAGGGTAAATAAGAAAAGAGTCTTTTCCTCAACATATTTATTTTTTGAGCTGTAAAGTACCTGGATTTCATTATTTTGACCCCTTGAGAACATTTTTTAACAAATGTTCATTTATTTTTCTTAACAGATCAATTATTCTCAATAGATCATATGTCTTCTTTAATGCTTCCCTGCCAACATTTTTTAGGACCTAATTTTTACTTTATGGGTGAGGAAAATGATTCTCAGAAAAGTATACCCAATCATTTTTTCTAATAAATGTTTACAGAATATATAGAATTTTATAGAATAGTTAAAACACAATGTTTTAACTCATGAAGTATTACTGTGAACAAAGGAGACTGAGTCTTATATTTGCAAACTGGTCTTTGTAGTCTAGTGAGAGAAAAAAAATGATAAATAAAGCAAGAAAAAAATACAGTCAGTCAGATGATAAGTGCCAAAATCATTGAGAGCAACTTCTTCTTCCATCTGCAGTAGCAAGAGTTCTGCTTCCTACACTTTAGATATTATTTAATTTAATTTTTGGAAAGTCTGAAGTTAAAATGATACCTCCCTGTCTTTGTTATGTTTTTAATAATAAATGAGGTTGAACTTTTTAAACTGTTTCTTGGCACTTTCTTTTTCTATGAACTATAATTCCTTTGCTACTTTTCCTTTTATTATATTTCTTTTTCTTTATTTGTTCTTTGCATTCTAAGGTAATTTACTCTTTGAATCTCATGTATTGCAAGTACTTTTCTTACTTTGTAAATTTTCTAAAATTTGGCTACTTAACTTACTATTTATACCAAAACCAACTATACAGTCATACAAACCTTAATTTTAAATAATAATATAAAAATTCTAGAAGAAATAGTGGGAAGTGGATAAGAAAATTAATATAAATTCTGAAAACAATGAAGAAGAAAAAAACTAATAATTTTTCCTAAGTTGCTAGCCATTTGTCCCAACATCATGCGCCAGCATCCACATTTCTTCACTAACTTGGTATTATATATTTTTCATATACTAAATTCCCATATCTACCTACTTTTTGACTCTGAGTCTTTGGGCTCTCACTCCACAAAGCACTAACTCTTTAATTTATTGTTACTTTTGAAACATTTTAATATAGATTAGGAAGAAATCCCTCAATAATCTTTTTCGAAAAATCTCTAGAAATTCTCCCTTGGTTCTTATACATCAATAACAGACAAACAGAGAGGCAAATCATGAATGAAATCCCATTCACAATTACCACAAAGAGAATAAAATACCTAGGAATCCAACTTACAAGGGATGTGAAGGACCTCTTCAAGGAGAACTACAAACCACTGCTCAACGAAATAAAAGAGGACACAAACAAATGGAAGAACATTCCATGCTCATGGATAGGAAGAATCAATATCATGAAAATGGCCATACTGCCCAAGGTAATTTATACATTCAATGCCATCCCCCCATCAAGCTACCAATGACTTCACAGAATTGGAAAAAACTACTTTAAGTTCATGTGGAACCAAAAAAGAGCCTGCATTGCCAAGACAATCCTAAGCCAAAAGAACAAAGCTGGAGGCATCACACTACCTGACTTCGAGCTATACTACAAGGCTACAGTAACCAAAACAGCATGGTACTGGTACCAAAACAGAGATATAGACCAATGGAACAGAACAGAGCCCTCAGAAATAACACCACACATCTACAAACACCTGATCTTTGACAAACCTAACAAAAACAAGAAATGGGGAAAGGATTCCTTATTTAATAAATGGTGTTGGGAAAACTGGCTAGCCATATGTAGAAAGCTGAAACTGGATCCCTTCCTTACACCTTATACAAACAGTAATTCAAGATGGATTAAAGACTTAAACGTTAGACCTAAAACCATAAAAACCCTAGAAGAAAACCTAGGCATTACCATTCAGGACATAGGCATGGGCAAGGACTTCATGTCTAAAACACCAAAAGCAATGGCAACAAAAGCCAAAATTGACAAATGGGATCTAATTAAACTAAAGAGCTTCTGCACAGTGAAAGAAACTACCATCAGAGTGAACAGGCAACCTACAGAATGGGAGAAAATTTTTGCAATCCACCCATCTGACAAAGGGCTAATATCCAGAATCTACAAAGAAACAAATTTACAAGAAAAAATCAACCCTATCAAAAAGTGGTTGAAGGATATGAACAGACACTTCTCAAAAGACATTTATTCAGCCAAGAGACACATGAAAAAATGCTCATAATCACTGGTCATTAGAGAAATGTAAATCAAAGCCACAATGAGATATCATCTCACACCAGTTAGAATGGTGATCATTAAAAAGTCAGGAAACAACAGGTGCTGGAGAGGATGTGGAGAAATTTGAACACTTTTATACTGTTGGTGGGACTGTAAACTAGTTCACCCATTGTGGAAGAGTGTGGCAATTCCTCAACGATCTAGAACTAGAAGCACAATTTGACCCAGCGATCCCATTAGTGGGTATATACCCAAAGGATTATAAATCATGCTACTATAAAGACACATGCACTCGTGTGTTTATTGCAGCACTATTCACAATAGCAAAGACTTGGAACCAACCCAAATGTCCATCAATGGGAGACTGGATTAAGAAAATGTGGCACATATACACCATGAAATACTATGCAGCCATAAAAAAGCATGAGTTCATGTCCTTTGTAGCGACAGGGATGAAGCTGGAAACCATCATTCTGAGCAAATTATCACAGGACACAAAACCAAACACCACATGTTCTCACTCATAGGTGAGAATTGAACAATGAGAACACTTGGACACAGGGCGGGGAACATCACACACTGGGGCTTGTCGTGGGGTGGGGGCTTGGGGGAGGGATAGCATTAGGAGAAATACCTAATGTAAATGACGAGTTAATGGGTGCAGCAAACCAACATGGCACATGTATACATATGTAACAAACCTGCACGTTGTGCACATGTACTCTAGAACTTAAAGTATAATTAAAAAAAAAAAAAAAAAAAGGAAAAAAAAAAAGAAATTCTCCCTTGGTTATTTTTTATAACAACTTTACTTCTATTTTTGTAATTATTCCCCCCTCATTCCTTCATCATTTTGTTTTAGATAACATTAATTTTAGAAGAATGCAGCTAAAATAATATTTTTGTACCTGTAAAACAGATGTGTCTTTCAATTTTTCATATTTTTATGTTCCTTAGTTGGAATTCTATGTTTCTTCATATAAGAACATTTCTCACTAAACATTTTCTAAGCTATCTTATTATGTTTGTTAATATTATAAAATGAATCCTTTCTCCCTTTGTATTCTTACCTGAATATTTATATTTATATATCTATTATGTTCTGTGTGCTCATTCCATGATTAACATTTAAATTTAGTTTTTGCAAAAACTGTTTAACGCTCATGTGTTTTCCAAGTGTAGCTTTTTAGAAGGATATGATTTCCAAGTATTAATGTGTTTCTTCTACTCCCAAACCAACAATTCACAGAACTCACCACCCACACTGTGAGAATTGAATCACCCCTGGGCAACCAAACAAAAACTAGAAATAATGAGACAGAAGGAGCAACATACATAGTTTCCCAGTTGCAGTGAATAGATCAACAATAGGCTGGCCTGAAAAGAGTGGTTCATTGGGGGATGGGAGATGTTGGACATGTAAGTGAGAAAGGAGAAGGAGTTTATCAGTACTTGGGGTTGGACAGACAACTTCTGGGTTTTGTCCATCCTTT
Source organism: Homo sapiens (assembly GCF_000001405.40). Lineage (NCBI taxonomy): Eukaryota > Metazoa > Chordata > Mammalia > Primates > Hominidae > Homo > Homo sapiens. The sequence goes on from NC_000004.12 coordinate 95,830,124, forward strand.
CAGCTGTTCCACCTAAAAGAGGCTAGTGCCTTATCTAGATGGCAAATTTAGAAAGTAAAAATGGAATGCTTGGCTCAGGTCCTCTCTCTTCCTCTTGAGAATGAGCTTCCCACGCATGGCAGGACTTTCTCTCTGCTCTCCCCACTCACTGTTTCTACCCTCCTGGTCAAGCATTGCCTGTAACCAAGTAGGTATGTCCACTTAATCTTGGGTTAGCAAACGCGATTCTGCTTTCACACTAAGCTGTTCTTGAATGGAAACTACAGAACTCAGATGATATTTTATCTTTCACTTGTGAATCATTTACCTTATATGTCAGTTTTTTAGAGCCTAGGCAAAAAGTGGAATCTGATTGGGCCTCTCATAGACCTGCACAAGAATTCAATGTTCCTGAGGGCAGAGAACCAGTCTCGTTTAATACTCATTCTCCACACTACAACCATTAAGAGTGAGAACTCTGGACCCAAACTAAATTGATTCACAATCTGGCTACAGTATTTACAGCTCTGTCATGTGGGCTAAGTTAAATGTTTCAATAAACCACATTTTAACATAAAAGTGTGCTTGTGAGAATTAAATTAGATAACCGATGATAAAGTTTAGCACAGTATTATATGTTAAGCAATCAATAAAAGGTAGTGATTATTATTATGAAACATGAGACTATTGCTCCACAGTGCTATCAGGCCTTTCTCATAGAGTTCCTCTTTTGCCTCTAATTGATGCTGTGACATTGTGGTCTCCTTGGTTGGTCTTAAGCTGTGCCACAGGAGGGAAAATCATTCCTTACATGAATAGAAGTGTTCTCACTCTTTCCAAAGCCCTTCTAGCTAGTAGTGATAGGCAGAAGGCAGGAGTACAATCAACAAGGAAAGAAATCGCATCAAAAGAATGCTATGATTATAGCCTAAACTTCTCAAAAGAAGACATAGTTGGAAAATGTGTTGTTCTAAACTTATGCCGCAGATACCATAAAGGTAAGTTGAATGTGGCCAGAAGTTGAATTATCAGTTATTTTTCCCTGCAGACTATGGATAAAACTTGCATCTGTGGTCATCATCAATAAAGCACAGTAACAACCTTTGAGAAGCTAGTGTTCATGAGTGACAGAATGTAGTGACAGCATCATGTGCAACGATGTAACCAGAATTAATAAATTAGGGCGCTACAGAGTCAAAACAATCTAAATGGCTTCGGTGTAAACAGAATATTGCTCCACAACGTCATCACCACTGCTTTGTGGTTAATAACAAGTACTACCTCTTTCTTGAGGAAGTAGATATGAAATGAGATAGAAATGGTGCATTGGCAATAAAAAACAGGAAGAGATGGTTATTAGGCATGAACAAGGATGGACTGTTCCTGTTGATACTATCAAGAATCTTCACAAGCTCCAATTAGGCAACAAATGTGTTACCTCTTTTCTATTCATTATTCTAAATAATATTCAATATTCTAAATAATCTACCTCTTTTCTATTCATTATTCTAAATAATAAATTCTAAATAATCTAAATCGCTATACCCTATATGGACTCAAGAATTTTCTAATACAGCTTGAATCTCCACAAAAATATTTTTTCCAGTGCCCCACACCCCTAGGGGTGGCCTTCAATGCCAACATATTAAGTCAAATAAAAAGATGTGATATGACTATTTTCATTATTCTTGAATATATATTTGGTGAGTTTTAACACATTTGCTTAAAATGTAGTAAAAAGTCAAAAGTAGAAGATTTCATTGATGAAGAGTTTCAGTCTTAGAGCTAATTATTGATGAAACATTAGGAACTTAGGAGTTAGACAGATCTGAAGTCCAGTTTCTATCACTTGAGTCCAGTTTCTATCACTTGCTGGCTTTTGGTTCTTAAAAATACTGACTATTAAAGCATTTGTTTTCTTATCAGTAACAATAAGAAAGGCAATCTTATCCATGTCATCGGACTGTTGTGACGGTTAAGTAAAATATTGCTTGCAATACACTTAGCAAAGTGACTGGAAGATGGGAAGAAGTAAATAAATAATTGCCTATTAAAATCACCATCACCCAAGCTGAGAAACAGCTTAACAATATATAGTATTTTCATAAGGAAACCACACGATGTCAGTGTATATAATTCTGAGTAAGCTGAGAGATGCATATTCTTGGATAACAAAACTAAACATTGTAAAGACAGAATTCTCTCCACTTTATTTTACATGTTTAATTCTAATCCAAATTCCAAATTATTTTTTAATGTAATAAAATTACTCTGGTCTTCATAGGAAATATTGTACAGGCTATAAAATCTTAGAGGATTTTTAAAAAAGTGTAATGAGAAAGGGTTTGGACTATCAAATATATAATTACATGATGCTATAATAATCAGAACTGAGAAGTGCTCCCATAAGAATCAACTGACAGATAATAAAACGAACTCAGAAACAAAAGTTTTAGCTTATGAAGATGTAGACCTAGATATAGATACAAAGTGAGCATTTGAAAACAATAAAGATATGGACTACTCAATACATGAAAGTGAGAAGAATTTAGCAGACAAAATAAAACTGTAGTGTTATCTCTCTATATTATCCAATAACTCCAGATGTCTCAAAGACTAAAATCTTTAAAAAGAAAACAATAAGTAGTTATTTATAAGTACATGATTGTGTGCAAATAAAAGCATAAAGGAGAAGAGGTGGTATATTGAACACATTCAATGTTTTGTGTTAAAATATTACAAAGTAAATCTTAAAAATCAGTACTTTCACTAACAGTGCCTGGTGCATGGTATAAATTCAGTAATAATACAAGGGTTCAGTTGTAGGGGGACATTTTAGAGAGTTATGGTAAACTCATGTAATAGAGATTTTTTGTAACCATTAAAATGATCTTTGAAATGGCTTTTGGTAATTTTGAAAATAATTATAATATGATGCTAAGGAAAAAAACTCAAGAGTTATAAAACATATAACCTTGATTGTATTAGAAATAAAAAGATAAAAATAAATCAAAACTTAATAGCAGATAACTTTTGGTGATTTAATTTTTCTGTCTTTATGCTTTTCTGCATTTACAATATAGAATTTTTAAAGACACTGTAGTCAATATATATATATATATTTATTAAGTTTATAAACCAGAAATAGGTCTCTGATGATGAGAAACTTAAGATGAATAGATATTTTTATTTAAATGGGGAGAAGAGAGAAAACATTTCTTTTTGGAAATTTTCAAGTTTAAACAGCTACAGGGTTTTAACATACTTTTTCTGGTAGACTAGAGAGAATGAAGGAAGTTAATGTTGAAAATATAGTTAGCATCTCCTTACTGGTGAGAATTAAACCAATAAATCACATGAGTCCCTTTGGGTAATCATTTAAGCTGGCAAGAATAAAGCATACATCATTAAACTTTAGACCCCCACTTACTTTTTGGGTGGAGGTTGACATACAGGAAATGAAGTCTGGAGTACAAGCAGCATAAAAAAAATGATTTTAATTTTTAAGTTGGGATAAGGGAATATCCGTGGAAAAACACTAATGTAGTGAAGAGTTTCGAAGAGTGATAACACTGAAATTGTCATTAAATTTAACCAAGTCCTTGATGTGAGAAATTTCAGTTCATTGTTGACAACACAGATTGCAGAAGCATATGGAAGCAATTAGAAGAAAGTAAATGGAGACTGTGGGTGCAGGCTGCATATTTGTGGAGCTTGACTAGATAAAAGGAATAATATAGGATGAGATCTAAAAGAGGCAATGAGGAGTCTGATATCTTCTTTCAGAGCTGAGGAAATCTGAGCATGAAAGCAAGCCAAAGAAGAAGACAAAATTGATGATTCTTTGGTGGGGGTGTGGGAGTGGGGTGAATATGAGAACAGTATCTCATTATGAAGGAATAGCAAGTTCTGTAGCAAAGGCTGAGGAGTTAGATTTCCAGATAAGAATATGATTCCTCTTCTGCTGAGATTAGCAGGAAGGAAGTTCTGATAGATGTAAAAATTCTTCAGGAGACAGGCAGCTGGGGCAGGGGAGCAGTGTAGGGCATGCATGCAGGAAGCAATGGATCACAACAGAAGATTCTGGCTCTCCGTGAATCAGATGCATGAGCTGAGAACATGCCCAGTGTTTACTGGGCTTACTACCCTTGCTGAGTCCGTTTCTGCTCTGATCAGTGTCAGGATCCAATGCAGTCCATATGACTTTTCATATAATATGGAAAAGTTCCATATTATATGAAATTCCATGTTATATGAAACTTGGAAATTCCCTTGGAAAAGTTGTAATGCATTCTTATAAATACAGGTGATTTTTACCATGAAATGAACTGGGAAGAAAGCTAGATGAAAGTATAGAAAAGTTAAAAGCTTTTGGAGAAATACACCATAAATTTCAGTGGGATATTCAGGGTCCAGAAGATTGGAAGCAGCATGACCAGCTGGTAGCCCTGACAAGAGCTTGTTAAATTCCTAATGAACCCCAATAATCTTGTTGCCTGATTATGTTTTGATGAGTGCTTAAGATGTTTAAGCTTAAAAGCTCTTCTTGGACACTATTTTCATTTACCATTGGGCCTCTAAATTGAAATTGTCTCTAAGGCTCCCCGATAATGGCCTTTTAGATTTTCAGTGTTGGGTAATATGGAAATATCTTAGAATCTAAATGCACAGTGGGTCCATGGGAACAGAAAGATTCTCATGCATGAGAAGCTCCATAAAACATCTATAGCATTGTCTTAGGTTGCTTGGAGAAACTGCATTCATATTCATAATGTATTGTATAATTATGAGATCCTGATTTTCATATTTCCCAGTGTGCCTTTTCAGCTCTGCTGTATAACCAAATTAAAGGAGACTACACAACTTTACAAAATTAGAGTGTTCTGTTTTGTATATTGCTGTTTGACAGTACTTTATTTTTAATTTGTTCATCATTGATCCTAATAAAGACAAACTGTCATTTTAACCATTGCCTGGAATGTAATACATTAGTTTTATTGCATCTATAACAGCTGCTTATGTGTCTCTCCCTCTGTCTTTCAATGATGAGTTGTCCTTTTCTCTAGGCAGTGCCAGGAAATCTGGAAGAGCTCACAACACCTCTATATAAACTGGATTAAATAGAGGAAAATTTAATTGTATGTTATTATTGTACTTCTACTACTTAATACAGAAAGGGGATATATAAAAGAAAGGCACTTCATGCATACATGATGAATAAACGAAGAATAAATATTTTACTTTTTTAAATTAGCTTTGTATTTGCCTAATTCCTTGGCCTCAGTTTCCTCTTCCAGAAATTGGGAATGAGACACTAAACCATATGAGGGTCAAATGAGCAAACTGTATTTCCTGGAGATACAAACTTCCTTAACTTTGTATCTCTAGGAAAGAGATGCAAGTCTATTCTATCACATACCTGGGAAATATTTATGATGTTTTATATCTCAAATTAATGCATGTAATAATCGAAAAATTCATTCTCATTATTAAAAAAAATTATTTGCCAAGAAAAATGTGCTTATATGTCTGTACATATTCACAGGTATCTCCTATGAATCTATTTGGACAGAATCTATACAGGTCTAAGTTTACGATGTAATAGATAACACTGTGCCCTAGCTTAGATGTAAGACAGGGCAAAGAAAACTGAAGATGTGGTCAACAGTAGGTTCTTAAAGTGGGGTGCATGATTAGCAATCTTCCTCAAAGTCTGTTTCTCTCAAGATTTGTGTTTGTCAAATGTGCTGCTCAAACTTCCTTCTAGGGGGCAGCAGTGCCCTGGATTTTTGCCAATATTCCTTCCTCTCTCTTTAAACATCCGTCAGTGACTTAGGTCTTCTTCAAAGAGGCAAAGTCAAAGGAAATAGTCGTGGTAATTTTGTTATTACATGGGCATACTGATATTAGAAACAGTTAATATTCCACCAAAAGTCATTAGAAGGGTTGTGGGAGGGCATATATAAAGAAAACGTAATAACATGGTACAGTTAAGAGGAAACTAATATATTAAAACGACTGCACAGAGGAGAGAAGCCCTCATTGCAATATTGAATATATAGCATTCATTTTTACTAGCATATTTTGTGTATACTTTATTGCTAGTATAATAAAATCAAGGTTACTAGGGGTAAATGTATGTTTATTTGCAGAATAAAAATTTGAGACATGGGGTTTTAAGTATGTGAGAATTAAAATCTGCTAAGTACAAGATTTGCCCAAGAAGTGTAAAGATTTTAGGAGAACAGGCAAATAGATTTAACTCTGACTTGGACTTTCTTGAAACTGCTGTGATTTGTCAGGAATGTTTATTGAATTAATGATTTTTCCTTTGAATGGGGATTGTGGTTTTACAAAGCAACTCAAAATATTGAGCAGGAATCAGTTCAAAACTCTTGACTCATGTTCTAGTCCTCTACTGGTTGAGACACCAGACTGTAGTAAATCTTGACAACAGATTTTATACATAAAATTTTACTTCTTATGTCACTTGGCCATATTCAATTACAGCTCTAATTATAGAGAAGTTATTAAAATGTTCGCAAAGTTTTATTTTACAATTTTGCTTCATGATCTCTTTTATCATATATGTTAGACCCTCATCCCAAACTCTTGAAATAGTGGATTTAGCACTAGGAGCATGATGACTCAGATGACTCCGGTCATCTATCAGGAGAAAGATGGTGGTCCATCTGTTACACTAAAAATTAACCCACAATGTCTTCCTTTTTCTCACACCATCATTATCTGGGTAGGATGAGAAGCACTTCTACTTTACCTCTCATTTCTAATTAAGTCTTCTCTTTGAATTAATCTATCCTGGATTTTTATTTTAATCATATTTCAAATATAGTAAGATCATACAAGAAAAAATATTGTTTGCCCAAGCCTCTGAAGTGTTCTGGAATAGCTTTGCTTATTGTAATATTAGAGAGAAACTTTGCTTGATTGTCATCATTTTTCAAAATATATGGTACTGACATTGTGTCTTTTCTCCAACAGAGAAATTCTTCTCAGAGTTATATATATATAACTTGTAATTTTTGCACTAAGTTCTTACTCATCACTCTTAATTGCCAAATCTTAGAGCTATGAAAAAAATACACTGCCACTAATCATCTAATGAGATCTGATATTGCTTATCTAGAAAATATTCACTCTTTAACAGCTTTCTTCACCTAACATTTGGTGAAAAAGTGCAATAATTACTGAAGAAATGTAAATATCCTTCAAACATTCTCACTGTTCTTTTTCACATTTCCTTGTCTATTATTTAAAAAATATGTGTTATTGATGCCATGGGAGTGACACTTTTAAGATAAATTCAGAAATACCCCTGTAGGATCAACCATCAGACATGAAATGTGAAATGCTGTCACACTGGCATGAATGACTGCTACTATAATCACTGGCTCTTCTTTTATAGGGGTTTTTATTAATTAAATGTAAAGTCTGCCATTGGCCTTATAAGAGTGCTCATCTGTTTTCCTTTAATTTCAAGTAGATTAAAAGTGAGATTTGGTGTTAATTAAAAACTTAGAATTTATGGGGTTTCTAATTGCAAATAACATTTCTGTGGTGAGTACGTAGATGACTTCTTAGTTCTGTTTGGTAATCAACATAGTATTGAACAAGGACAGGACAAAAAATAAATCATTTGAAGAAAAGAACACCATCATTGGCTCTATTGTCCGTGAATAGCTTGAATCCTATCTAGCTGGGGGGCATGTAAGAGGAGAAGCTCAACAGCTCAGGATAAACATTTTACCCTGATGTCTGGAAATTTCATTCTTTCTTTGAAAAATGTAGATGGATTTGGAAGGATAGCAATAAAAGTCAAAAAGTCATTATCAAGATTAATCAGTTTAATTGAAATGCTTCAACATTGTTTGATTTCAGATGTCTATTTTTAAGTTGAATTTAGGATATATAGGGTAACTGATGACCAAGAGGTCTATGGGAGTTTCACATTTTATTATTTATTATCTTAACTAGATCCTGTTGAGAAATTTTTTTTTTTAAAGGACATCTTCTGTGGGAACCCGTAGTACAGATATTTTCCAATTAGCATCTTTGTATGTTCTCTTCTGGCATGAGTCGGGTTTAGGCTTGACACACTGGGCTTTTAAGGGGAGCTCTATCTTTGCAGTCCAGGCTACGTGTGACAAGATTAAATTGGCACACTTTACTGTACAGCTCTTGTGTTCCTGGCAGCACTGGCCTGGCTGATACCTCTGAGAGAAGGCTCAGCTGTCACTCACTGACCCATTAACACTACTGTTCTATCCTGCAGTGTCATTTTTCTCATTCTTATGGAGATAATGCTCCCTGGAGATCTCCAATACCTGGAGGAATGAAAGAGAACAGCAGAGACAGGCTAACTATCAAAGAGGGAGCAAACAACACAGCAAGACCATGAATTCCAACAGTTGAATTTTCAATTGAGTGAAAAGATGAGGCCTATTATGATGGCTGGGTTCAGAAGGTGGGGAGACGATCAAGTTTTAAGAGGTATCTTAACTTTTTAACAAGCTATTTTCTCTTTTCTTCCTGAATATTAAAAGAAGTGCCCAAAATAACACCTGCAACTAGATATAGAGAAGGCAGCTGCTTTGAACATGTAATAGGGACATTTGGGTAAGAATTTATCATTTGCAAATAGGCAATGGATATAAAACAGAGCATGCATTAAGGTGAATGGCTTAATATTCTAAATAAAACAGGATCCCTAGTTAGGGTTGGCTTATTGGGGCACAAAATCGCCTTCCTGGTAAAAGCACAAAAAGAGAGAAATGATATGTGATCTTTGTATCCCTTGGTCTAAGGCTTCTCTTCTCTTGTGATTGAACGGTTTCCAGTGGCATAAGCAAACTCTGTTGCTCTCTTGTAGTCCAAACTGTGTATTGTTTGGTGGGTCACTTTATAAGAAGTAACACTTTCTAATGGTTACTACATAAAAAGGCACTATAAGAACATGTTTCTAGATTTCCTGGACTAAGGCTGGTCCAGTTTGATTGATATGAAAGCAAAATAAATAAATAAATAAATAAATACCACCTGAAAGTCTATGGAAACCTGCTGAAGACATTTTTATAGAAAACCAAAAAGAAAAAAAAGAGGAAATAAACAAAAGGAAGAGCAAAAGTGAAGTAGTCAGAAAATAGGGATAAAACTAGGTAAAAACAGAGATTCAGAATTATTAAACAGAGTAAGGAAAAGTGGAATGTCACAAACTACAAACTTTTTACCACAATCTGCACCTCAACCCTCTCTCCCTGCTTCCAATTTTCCCACACCAAGCAAAGTTTATTACTGGGTTTAAAGTGTTATCCTCAGGCCGAGGTTTGTATACATTTTCCCTCCCCACTTCAAGTGTCACAGGTGCTAGACGCCATCAGGATAAATGTGGCATATTATTTGAGAGTACTGACTTTTCTTTAAAAGGGGTTTTTGTTAACGTGCGTGTGCTTGTTTTGTTTTTAAAGTTAATTAAGCTACAAATAATTTACAGCTTTGTTGTTACCTTAAAATACATATGGCACATTATGGAGCAGGATAAATATTCATACCTATTTTAAAGATCAAAAACAAGACATTAAAGAAATATTGGTAGGAAGAAATACCTTTGGACTAACTCTCAGAACTCTCATGTGCCTTAGGGACTGAGTTTGTTCCTTTCTTCTATTTGATACGCTTGTCGGGAAAGCTTGAGATACAGTGCTCCAGGGTTTAACAGGGAAAAGGGACTCAGATTATTGAGGTTCAGCAATGACGGCGATTAGGATGCCCTGTAGTTTGCCCAAGTCCTCCAGAAAAGGAAATCACTTTTAGTCTTCATTTTACAGCTGGCAGGCACTGTACAAATCAGTCAGCTCAGGCTGCGTGGCCCATGTCCCAGTGCTGTGCAGGACCTGCCTCTATCACCCGTGTGCACTGCCCGGATGGTGCCAAGCGCATTGGAGCACCGGAAGGAGACGCGGAGCCGAGGCCAGGCCTTCCGGCGGTCGTTACGGGACGCCGCTGCCATCTACAGCACTCCGTGAAGAATATGCTGGCCGCCTTCATCTCCCGCGTGTTGAGGCGAGTTGCCCAGAAATCAGCTCGCAGAGTGCTGGTGGCATCCCGTAACTCCTCAAATGACGCTACATTTGAAATTAAGAAATGTGATCTTTATCTGTTGGAAGAGGGTCCCCCTGTCACTACAGTGCTCACTAGGGCGGAGGGGCTTAAATACTACAGGATGATGCTGACTGTTCGCCGCATGGAATTGAAGGCAGATCAGCTGTACAAACAGAAATTCATTCGCGGTTTCTGTCACCTGTGCGATGGTCAGGAAGCTTGTTGCGTGGGCCTTGAGGCCGGCATAAACCCCTCGGATCACGTCATTACATCCTATAGGGCTCATGGTGTGTGCTATACTCGGGGACTTTCTGTCCGATCCATTCTCGCAGAGCTGACGGGAAGAAGAGGAGGTTGTGCTAAAGGAAAAGGAGGATCGATGCATATGTATACCAAGAACTTCTATGGGGGCAATGGCATCGTCGGTGCACAGGGCCCCCTGGGCGCTGGCATTGCTCTGGCCTGTAAATATAAAGGAAACGATGAGATCTGTTTGACTTTATATGGGGATGGCGCTGCGAATCAGGGGCAGATAGCCGAAGCTTTCAATATGGCAGCTTTATGGAAATTACCTTGTGTTTTCATCTGTGAGAATAACCTATATGGAATGGGAACATCTACTGAGAGAGCAGCAGCCAGCCCTGATTACTACAAGAGGGGCAATTTTATCCCTGGGCTAAAGGTCGATGGAATGGATGTTCTGTGTGTTCGTGAGGCAACAAAATTTGCAGCTAACTACTGTAGATCTGGAAAGGGGCCCATACTGATGGAGCTGCAAACCTACCGTTATCATGGACACAGTATGAGTGATCCTGGAGTCAGTTATCGTACACGAGAAGAAATTCAGGAAGTAAGAAGTAAGAGGGATCCTATAATAATTCTCCAAGATAGAATGGTAAACAGCAAGCTCGCCACTGTGGAAGAATTAAAGGAAATTGGGGCTGAGGTGAGGAAAGAAATTGATGATGCTGCCCAGTTTGCTACCACTGATCCTGAGCCACATTTGGAAGAATTAGGCCATCACATCTACAGCAGTGATTCATCTTTTGAAGTTCGTGGTGCAAATCCATGGATCAAGTTTAAGTCCGTCAGTTAAAGGGAGGCTACGTGTGAATTTATCATCAGTCTCTCAATGGAATGTTCATGGTCAAATTTAAGAAACTGTGTTCTCAACTCAAGGAGGAATAAAACTCATAAAACAAAAGCCTTGTAAGCATTTATTAAAAGAGATTATTAAAAGAGATTGAAAGACATGCATTCAATAAAAGTGATATTATATTCAATTATACTGTATATTTTTGCATTAAAAGATACTATATAGGTAACAATTTAGTGTGAATATCTTAAAGATTATTTTGAACTTATACAAGTCTAAAATAGGAAAAGGAGATTATTTAACTTCCCAAACTGTTTGTCATAACAGTTCCATTTGATTTAGCTTTATACTATTTTAATGCATTCTCTTCTTTAAAAGAAAGTTGTTTCCTGCTTCCCCTGCCATGGGTTTCTATGTAGAATCACCATCCTGAGGTAAGGAGATTATTTCAAGCTACTCAGGACACCTATGGATATGTAACCATTTACTTGAATTACCTAATAACGAATACAGTTTAGTGTAACAGTGTGCGCATGCGCACACCCACACACGTGGTGCTGAAGTTTGTTAACACTGACCGTTTTTCCAATAATATATGATATTTAACAGGGCAGGGGAGGAAGAACAAGGATTTTTTTTTTTCATATTATTGTATCTTGTTACAATATTTTTAGTCTTTTAACCCTTAAGGAAAAATATAGCAAAAATTAAAATCTAGGGGAAAAACTGCATTCCGCTTTAATCTTTAAGTTAAAGCTACTCTTATTTTGCAGTTCATTTATGCCCTTATATATTCTAAAATTTAATGGGCCATTCTGGTGAATTTCAGACTGAAAAATGAATAAACAGAGATGGTGATTCAAAGAGTTAAGCAGAGGAGGTGACATTAATAAAAAGTTGAAAGTAAAATCTACCTTGCTTCTTACTAGCTGTTAACCATGCGTTACTAATCACTACATGATCAACTATTTAGTATCTTTTAATGCAACAGAACATTCACAGATAACTTTTTCCAAAGGAACACACAACATGTCTTTTCTGCAGTCCAGCACCATGTCAATTATCAAGTCATGATTTGGTGAAAGCAGTTTTACATGGTTATATTCGACTACTTAAAATCCTGCTGAGCTTGGTGTTTGGTGTATGTTATTTTTCTGAGAGCAGAGATGATAATTTGCCTGTGATTTAAGAATAGTAGGTGGAACATACCAAAACAGTCAAAGGTTAACCCTTTTTCTTTACTGTACAGCATCTACTTCTACAAATAGAACCTAGATTCTAAGAAATAAGAAAACCAAAAGCTCAGAGGCCTGGGAGAAGATGAACATATGTACATATATATACAGGCTTAATCTCCGTATCTTCTCCCAAACAAGTTTAAACAGGTAAGATAACCTAACATTCCGAATTCGGAAAGCAAAGATAAACATTGTTTTGCTTATATGTAAGTGATATTACTAGCTAACATGTTTTGATTAGAACACCGCAGTTGTTCAGAGGTGCTTGGACTGGATTCCTACAATTAAAAACAAAAAAGGATTTTTCATACGACATTCAGAATAATAAGTACATCCTTCTAATGATAAAGAATTCTTTTTATTTTTACATACTGATATTTTCACATATTTGCAAGTGGAAGATAAGCTGCTCAATTAAGGCTATTTTACATATGCAATATACAGAAATAATTTTTAAAGTTTTTCAATAGATTCTTTTGATGACAGCAAAAATTAAGATACAAATAATTGATTAGAAATGAAACCATCCCTAAATCAAGATACATAGATATTGTACTTCACTTCAGGGAAATAATCCAAATTTTGTTGTTAGAGGAATAAAGCATGTTTGTCACAACACAATATATGTTATCAAATTCCATTAAAGAAGGAGGTTTTCAATGTTTTCTATATTAAACAATGTTCAGATTTCTTGCATACATTGAGTAATTATAATCATATCACTGGTTACGCACAATTCTGTAATCATGCAAAACAAAAAAAAGCAACCGAAAAATTCAAACATGTTGTTTTCAATTAGGTCAAGATTTATTGCTTGACTAATGATAGCAATAATTTATCAAGCTGTAAACAAGAGAGGTGTAGAAATCTAGCAATTGGATTCTATTTCTTGTCTATAGTACTGGGTTACTCAATCTGTTTTATCCTCACGTTAAAATACCTACTAAGTTATGATAGTCATAATAAGAATTTCACTGCTGCAGCAAAGCTAGACTATCTGCGAAAAGGAAGAGTTCCTAATTTCTTAATCTTTATGATATGTTATAATGATAAAATATCATGTAGTGTGTGTGGAATGGAATAAGAAAGAAAGGAGCTTAAAGATTTATAAAGGGTATACTAGATTAGAATTACATTTTTTAAAAAAAAAATGGACATGTCTTCCCATCTAGTGTACAAAAACCAGAGCATATGGTTACAAAAATTTAACTTGAAATTTTGTAAGAGCTATGTTTTAAAAATTGAAACATAATTTTATAATTGAAATATAATTTTTACATATGCAATATACAGAAATAATTTTTAAAGTTTCACCCTTCTAAAAGTGCACAAGTCAATGATTTTAGTACATACACAAGACTATGCAATCACCACTGTCTAATTCTAGAATATTTTTATAATTCCCATTTTCAGTCAATCCTATTTCCCCTGGCAACTACTAATCTACTTTTTGTCTCTAGATTTGCCTATTCTGGACATTTCATATAAGCCACACAATATGTTGGTCCTATATGACTGGCTGCTATCCCTTAGCTTAATGTTTTCATGTTTCGTCCATGCTGTAGCATGTATCAGTACTTTAGTCTTTTTATGGCTGAATAACATTTCCATTTTATTTATCCACAAGTTATTGAAGATTTAGAATTTTTTTTCTACTTTTTGACTATTATGAATAAAGTGTTGCTGAGAAAAAATTCAATCACAAAGACAATAACAATTTTCAATGTATTGGCTAATGCAAACAATATCCCTTACGATGCAATCCCTTTTGATTATAAACAAATAATGATGAAGAAAAGTGTTAAAATACTTTAAGCCTGATATTTATCAACTTACATAATCTATTGCTCCAGTTGGATTTAGAATTACAATTTTAGATTTGCATAAAATTTGAGAACAGTATGCAGATGTACCACATGCCCTGCACCCAATTTCCCTTTTATTAACATTTTATATTAGTTTGTGGCAAGGAAAGAGTAAATTCAGCAGGCTTGAGTTACTCAAAGCCTGCACATTTAAGGAAAGACCTCTTTTCACACTCCTGGGAGATAATCTCTGAACACCTTGGAATATTCTACCTGATATGAATGTTTTTGTGAGCCTCAGGCCTTGGGCCATACTATGCCAATATGACCAGATTAGCTTATCTTAATGATGTGTCCCTCTTTTACTCCATTGAGAAGATATACCTGGAAACTTCTGCCTGCTTTCTCTTGAACTTCTCTTCATGTGTCTTTTTCCTTTCCTAATTTTAATTTGTATCCTTTCACTGTAATAAACCATAAGAAAAAACAATCCAGTTTTTTTAATTATACAGAATAAGAAGCTATATATAAAAGAGGAGGTCCAGAGATATTAAGTGGCTAATTCAGGTTCACATAGTAAGTGATAGTGATAGCTATTGTTATCAGTCCATTCTCATGCTGCTATAAGGACATACCCGAGACTGGGTAATTTATAAAGGAAAGTTTAGTTGACTCAGAGTTCAGCATGGCTGAGGAGGCCTTGGGAAACTTAACAATCATGGCGGAAGGGGAAGCAAACACATCCTTCTTCACAAGGTGGCAAGAAAAAGAATGGGAGCAGAGTGAAGGGGGAAGCCCCTTATAAAACCATCAGATCTCCTGAGAACTTACTTACTATCATGAGAATAGCATGGGGGAAGCCACCCCCATGATTCAATTACTTTCCACCAGGTCCATCCCATGACATATGGGGATTATGGGAACTACTACTGAAGATGAGATTTGGGTGGGGACACAGCCAAACCATATCAGCTACTAATCATAGCCACTATTCTATTTTACTAGACTGCTTTTGTGTACAAGACACTATGCTTAGTATTTTGTATACATTGTCCCACTTGATGTTTACAATATCCACATAATATAGGCATTATAATCTACATTTTACGAAAGAGGAAATTGAGGCACAAGTAAGTTGCTTAAGATTTTGCAGTTTACAAATGGAGGATGCAGGATTAAAAGCCAGGCAACAAAATCCATATTTTGAAAATTACTTTTTTGTACTGCTTTGTACAGTAATAACCAACCACAAAATCTGTTCTAAAAAGGTTCATTAATAAATGAATGAATACAATTAAACTAGAACTAAGGGATTTTATCAATTACTATGAACTGAGTCTAGATTGCAGGCCTAGAGTAGAAACACATAGACCAAGATTGGGAGGAAAACAGACACAGGATATAGGAAGTAAGGCAGAGTAAATATAGCCACAAAAGTTGTGATATTCATCCCATTAAGAAATTGGATATATGTCCCTTCCTCTTGAATCTGAGTGAGCTTATGCCACTCTGAACAACAGACACCAGCAGAAATGACACTGAAATGCAGTTTCAGGGCCCAGGATATGAGAAACAGGCAGCTTTTGCTTCATATCTCTTGGGAACATTCTCTCTAGGAGCTGTGATTCTCCACTTTAGAAGTTCAAATACACTGAGAACCTCTTGCTAGCGAGGGCATGAGCAGACACTCTGATCACCAGTCCTGGCTGATCTCTGCCTTGCAGCCAAAGCTACAAAGGCAACAGACTCTCAGTGAGGCTATCCTAGACCTTCCAGACAGCCCATCTACTAGCTGAAAGCTAACGAGGGATGTCTGGCAAAACAGTACAATCGAAACCAAACTCTCCCCAGATTCCCAATGTACAAAATCACAAGGAAAAATAAAAATGGTTGTTTTTAATATTCTAATTTTTGAAGTACTTTGTAGCGATAGATAGCCAGAATAAAAAGGGAGTTTTGACTCAGCAGAAATTAGAATTACATTGCTTATTCAAAGCCAGGGATCTCGGGAGAATAGGTGAAGTTTAGTAAACCAAGTCAGAATCAGAAAGCCCAAAGGATATTCCACTGCATAGGTTCATAATTTAGAAGTACCAAGGGAGAAGAGATGGGAATCCAGTAAAAAGAGGGCAGCCCAGGGAAAAAAATGACAACTGTTAAACATATAATTTTACACCATGTGGGGCTGGTTTCCAGATTAACTAGAATACCTACAACATGCGTTTTGAGGTTTTTAGAGTAAAATGTTGCCAACCATAGGTTTGGAAACACATTGCAGATTATATTTGCAATTTCAGCAACTTAGATTTGGCTGAGTCCAGGCAGAAGTTTTCTGATTAATGAGTATTAGGCCTTAATGGGTCAACTCCAGCACTTGAAATGCCAAGGAAGTGTATGAACACTTCGTTGGATGTGCACAGCTCTTTGTGACTATTCTAGCTAAGTAGTAAAGAGGAATCCAGGTAGCCAAGGGCTCGAGAATATAGAACCTGAGAAGCAAAGAGGGAATGAAGTCAGGAACCCAGCCAAGTTAATAGCCATTAGACAAAGAAACAGAAGACTAAATCGGAGGGTAGGGGAAAGAGCGGACTTGAATAATGAACAAGGGTAAGGGAACTAGAATTAGGAGTTGGCATTTGGTGAGCTTTGTGCTATCACAGGAGTCAATACCTACTAGATGGATTGAATCAGTGGTATCTCATGTCTTGACTGACTCTTTAGAACCTAATGCTTCCTATCCAGTTTCACTAAGTCTTAAAGCAACCCTTCCTTCATGTGGCGTGGAAATAAATTAGAGTCTGAACTTTGGTGTCATTCAAATCTGGGTTCAAATCACAGCCCTGTCATCTATGAGAAATGGTATCTTTGGAAAATGAACTAATTCTGTGTATCTTTGCTTTTTCATCTGTAAGAAGTTTAACCCATATGACTGTTGTAAAAGTTAAATGAAGAACTAAAGTGACATCTAGTCCAGGCATACCCAACGTGATCAATTTCTGTCCATAGGAAGAGAGAGCTTTTCACTTAGAAAAAGAAGAGCATTCAGAAGAGACTATCCCATGTCATCTGAAAGCAAGCAAAAATCGTAGGTGTTTTGTATAAGGATCGCAGTGGTCAGAAGAAAATGAGAGCAGTATATGGGATATATTTTCTGAAATTCAGCTACCCTTTGTTTTCTTGTGACCCTCTTTATCTTGACCTAAGTAATTCTCCTTCAGCTAGCTTTGGATACAGAAAATAGTACAGAAGGGCCAACAAGTATCGACAGTAAGATTAGATGTACAAGCACTGGAAATACCCAATTTGCCCCAAATTTTGTTCAGAACTGGGGTTTATTGATATATCGACTACAGTAAAGTGTGTAGATATCGTGCAGGCACTAAGTTTGTAAGATCAAGGATGTGGAATACTGCTTTTATTGTAATATAGATGACTATAGATAACCTAATACTAGCAATTCCCTTAAAATTTGCCCCATTCTTTCTATTGTAGATTCCTTTAAAGGAATGCTCTGAAATAATATTAATAAAAACAATGATCTGATCAGGCCTGGAACACAAATCAAACAAAACTCTGCATTCAATCAGCATTATAATTCTTTTCCATTGACTTAATTTATGTCTATTTGATCTATGAGGCTGATCTATATAGCAAACAGCAAAGATGTACTGGAATTTGAGAAGAAGAAATGGAAATTTTCTGCTGGCGTTATGCACAGAAAGGAACACAATCAAATTAGGAAACACTGAAGAGCGACAAAGACAGTTCATACAATACTTTCCTTTTGACAGGCCAATAAATACTCAAGCTGAATAATTTACCAAAAGAAAAAGGGCTCACTGGAACCTCATGACCTTTTGAACAATGAGCAGGAGTTCAATTATCCACAAACGTTCTATTAAAAGGCTGCTTTCCAGGACACAGTGTTATTTTAGCAGGCATATGTTAGAATTATTAAAGAGAGGGAAGCACTGCCTTTGTAGTTTCTGTTTCCTGCTATAGTTTGTTACCTTGTTTTTAAAAACTGACTGCCACATGAAGTAGCACTTTTCCCAAAAAAGGAAAAAAATGGTAGGAGGAAGCAATTATTTTAATAATGATTCTGGCAAGTACGAACTATTAGATTTCACTGGAACACTTTATCTGCACGTTACTAGAATGATACTGTCACTTTAGAAAGTATATAATTTGCTTCCATTAGAGACAGAGTAACATGCCAACAGCGCTCAAAGAATTTTCTCCATTGCTGTCCACATGGACCACAGTGTTGTGAGCTGCTAATCAATTTCTCAGGTGTATCTAGGCTTCAAGAACTGGAGAGCTTTCTTCTTACTCTATCTTGTGCAAACTCATATCTTCCCTAAGACAAAGGTCTGTAGAAGTCATGTGTGGAATATCACATATTTTGGAATTAAAGTACTGGAGTTTACTGCTATTATGAAAGAACATTATGAACTCAGATCTTATAGAGGCAACACAGTTCCTATGATTTAAATTTCTCTTCAATAATCCTTTATCATTTCTCTGTTTTTTGAATATTCTTCTGAATCCTTTATGTATCTTTCCATATTTTTCTGAATTGCTGAGATTAGAACTAAGAACTCCATACAGTTAAAACTCTGGTCTAACGTTAGTGGAAAAACTGTTTCACTATTTTTACATTAATATTGGTTTATTCACCAAATTATACTTACTGAGGAGAAAGAGTTGAATTCTTATGAGAGCACGATCAGCTAAATTCTCAAATATACCTGCATTCAGACCCAACAGAGGTGGAAGCTTGTCCTTTCCTGGATGAATTAACTTCCTTTGAGTCACTCTTTACTACTCTATTAAAAAAAGGAGTATCACACTGAACTTGTAGTGCTGTTACGAGGATTAGAAATTAGGTGTATAAAATCCTTTCAGCTTGACACACAGTGAATACTCCATACAGTAGGTATATTTTTCCTTCCCCTCCCCTTCTTTTTTTCATCTCCTATCTTACGTTAAATGTTTGATTTTTCTCACATATATTTACAGAAAAACATTTCATTTGCCTTTTACCTTTCACAAAAGTCATTTAGATTTTGACTCTGTCATTCCAAAAGCTTAGTCATGATTTTTTATTCATGGATTCCAGAAACTCATTAACTATCATTTTTATTACATTACATAGATCATCAGTGGGAAATTTAGATGTCACATGGTCTATAAATTGAGTGTACCACACCTGTAGTATAGGCATGAGTTTCTAGGAATGGCTTTGCTATTCTTATTATCCAGACTTATCTACTTTGAACTGACCATTTTCTAATAACTCTATTAAATTTTATTTTGCCAAGTGTTATTATGAAACGTAGCACTTTCTAGAAAGATTTCATCAATATGACATCTTTCAAATCTCCAAAACACTATGAACCTTACATATATTAATTTAGAAATCTGACATATGTACAATAAGTTCACATGTGTACAAATGTTTCCTTTGAGAATAAATTTGCTATCTCTATTCCTTAATAAGGACTTTAGTTTTGTGTTAATCAAAGGTATTAAGGGGCAGGTGGTGACATGCTGTCAAGTTAGAGGAGCAGCAGTGCAAACATTCTATTTATTAATGTTATTCATAAAGTTTCTATTGTAAACAGCGTTAAACTACTTACTATTCACCAAAAGCGTATAAAAAGTGTATCAGAACTTCAAAATCAATGACATATTGCCCCTACCCAATGCTACTCTTCAGCAAAGAGGGAAAAAGCTGCTCCTCAAACTCAGCATGCCATTTTTAAATTCACACTTAAATTTCCACTTGAGGAGGTAAGCCAAAACAAACTAGTTCTCCCTGAGATGCACCATGGGAATAAGTGTCCTCCCAACTTTAATAATTATCAGGGTGGAGTCTTTTTCCCACTCCCCTTTTCCTTCTGAATAGGGTTTGCTTACTAGGCCCTAGTTGTTCTCTACTCTTCTATTTGCATAATTCACAGAAGTCAACTTGCTGGCTCTATTCTGTCCCATAGAATGATAGTCTTTGTTTGATGAGTACACTGTTCTCTCTTTGTGGCTATAATTAGGGATACACTACATAAAAATTTTAAAATGAAACAAACATCAGCATTTAGATAGTAGATATTATATTTCCTAATCATACCCTGATTCAAGACTGCTTCCTTTACAAATTAACCTAAGTGAATGACTTCAAAACAGTGTAGAAAATATTTATTTAAACATAGGCTAGCTCAAGAATATGTAAATAGCTGTTATTGCCATTTGATTCGTTACATGCAATCTATAAAATTACATTACTCACATTACTATAGGTAAGAAGTATATCATTATTTAGTTAACAGATCTTGAAATAAAAATTAGAAACTGTGGTTTTCTATCCATCCGCAATATTTTATTAATGATTTCATGGGTATTTAGGTAAAGTATTTTCTTCTTCATTTGATACTCTATGCAATTCAGCTTAATTCTTCAAATGTCAAATGTTTTTAATATTATTATTTTGATACTTTCTTAACCTAGATACCTAATAAGATATTTTTCTAAAGAAAGTGATACACAAGGCTATAGAACTACTATAAGTAAAAGAAACACTTACATATTCAAATCACACAAAATTTCAAAGACAACCAAATAAGATTGTGCTATATAGACCTAGTAGCATTGGGGAATAACACTTCTGATCAGGAAATTAATATAAAATAGTATTTTCAAAAGCAAAATATTTGGGCTCAACAACGTGCAGTGAAATTTGATTTACAAATATTTTGCCCTAGTGGGATCTTTCTGGAGTTTTATTACACTTGAATTTTCAATTTGATCTACATTTGCTGCAGACTGGTTCACCCAATGGTTGATGGCTAATTTTTGAATAACATTGAAGTGCAGGAAATACTACATTTATTCATCTTCATAAAAACTGTGGTTGAATACTCTTGGAAGTATAAGTCTCTATTAATAACCATATGTCACAGCATGATTTTGTACATTCTTAAATAGGAGTGAACATAAATTTTTAATATAGGACTTTTTTTTTGGCCAAGAATCAGAAGACCCTTACCTCATTTTTTAAAAAGAAATTATTTGTTAACATATGGAAAATTTGAATTGAATTGCTATCTGAGAAAATAGGGGTCTCTGGTGGCAAACACATACGATCACTTATAGCTCCCTTTTTTTGTGAAGGCTACAAATATATCCAAGATGCAAGCATATCTCAAAGGATTGCATTACCTTTCCCTTATTATACATATGTCAGACTTTTACATGTGCAAATAATACTGAAGTCTGAATTCATACCACTCTATTATGATTGAGGAATATTGGAATATCTGTGCCTTACTAAGAAAATTCTCTAGATTTCTGTCCAGATGACTGTAACTGGCTAGTTATGATTTTCATGATCTTTTAGAGTCCAGAACTGAACATTCTATAGTCTTCTGGAAGATATGTAGTATTTGAACTAGGGTGCCTGACACAAATGTAAAAAGAAATGAGGAAAGTGAAGTACTTTCTAGTGGCCACATAATTAAAAACATGCAATAGATTTGACTATAATCTCTTCTTTCCTCAATTTAACTATGAATGAACCAAAGTTAGTTATGATAAATGTTATATGAGAACCAAACATAGCAAACTTACCTATTACACTCAGCACTGAACACATGTTAAAGGCTCCACAAATAAAGAGTAAATAAAGTAAATATATAGTTCTACTGAAAGGAGAAAAACTGAATATATTGGTCAAGAAGAGAGAAAATGAAGTTACACTTAGGTAAAATTGGCTTTCACCAACTGCCTTTTCTGAAAGATTTCCAAGAAGGAACTGAGGGTGGATTTTTTAATTTATTTCTTTTGCTGGTAAAGATACATGTTGTTCAAAAATGAAAGGGAAAATCAACAGAAAGGGAGCGTAAGACTTTTTAAAAAATATAGTATGGCGTTAGTTTGTAATAGTCCCATTCCTTGGTAAACCATATTCTAGAACTGAAAAATCATATTGCCTGTTGAAACGTAAGAAATTTTGAATGGTCTGTCCTTTTAAAATAGTTATCATTGGTGCTAGATATTACTGATTTAAAATTAAACTTTCCTGCATACTAATATAAATAAATGATTAAATAAATACATAGAGAAGAATAGATATGTCTTCCATGCAAAAAAATTCCAAGGAATTTCTGTAAATACTCTGCCTTTAAGTAGGTGGAACATAACTCTCAACTCAAGTTTGGGCCACACATAGTGACTTCCTTTCACAGTATAAAATAAAATGGAGAAACACAGTAACTTTGCAATGGAGAAAACTGACAAATACTACCTAAGCTAGGTAATCAAGGTCAATATCAACAATAATAAATCACATTGATATTATCTATCCTTGATATGACGTGATGGAAATGGCACTTTACTTTTGTGGTCTCCCCAAAACATGTAACTCTAGTCTAATCATAAGAAAAATATCAAACAGATACTTCTAGAGTAGCATTATGTAAAACACCTGATCAGTACTACCCAGACCAGTCAAGGTCATACAAAACAAGGAATGCTTGATGTAGGAACTGAGGGCTTGGCCCTCTGAAGTGTCACTGAAAATCACTGACATGAAGCAGATTAATAGGAGAAAAGGTATACAAATTTATTTAATGTGCATACATGGGAGCCTTCAGATTGAAGACCCAGAGATTCAGGGGAAATTGTCCATTTTTATGCTTAGGTTCAACAACATATGGACAGCCATGTAGAAATATGACTGGACAAAAAATGGTATGATCTAATCCTAAGAGACTGAGTGGGGAACCCAGTAAGGCTGACTGTCTGGATTCTTCTTGGCCTGAGCATTCATTCCTTCCTTCTGGGTGATGGGCTGGACCCTCACTGGAAAAGGAGTCTTGTGAACTACAGTCAAACAAGATAGTTTGATCTTAAAAAGATAACTTTTATATGGCCAGTTTTTAGACAAAAATGAGGAGGGATAATTGGAGTAGTATTTTTAGGTATTTTGGTTGACTCTGGGGATAAGAGGTTCTGGTTTCTAAGACCTGACTTGGTGAAGAGAGATTCTAGTTTCTATATAGGTAGCCTTAGGGAGAATGGGGCTGAGAGACAAGAGGGAAGGAGGGCAGAGAAAAATTTTTGCTTCTGAGTTGATTCTGAGGCTTTCATTTTGGGGTATTGTTTTCTGAGCTCCAACACTGCCCAGAGGAGTTAGGAAGTAAAGACAACTAGTAATATGGTATCCTGGAAGAGATCCTCGAGTGAAAAAAGAGCATTCAGTAAAAACTAAGGAAATCTGAAAAATAAAGGATGGACATGAGTTAATAATAAGGTTTCAGTGTTATTCATTGTGATCATACCAATGTAAGATATTAAAAATAGAGGAAACTGGATGTGGGATATGTAGGAACTCTGTACTATCTTCACAATCTTTCTGTAAATCTAAAACTGTTCTAAATGACAAACTTTATTAGAATTTACAAAAGAATTCCAAAATAATTTAAAAAATAGATTTCTATACTAAAAATAGATTATTCTCATAGAACTTCAAACGCAAAAAATGTATTTTTAGTATTTAGTCATCAATCTAGTGTTTCATTTATGCCCAAATATTTATTTACAAAGCTGTTAATTCACTGTTTTGGGTGTCAAGATAGAGAAAATATCATCAGATTAATAAGGCCTGTCATAAAGTTGAAGAGGAAAATGTCAACTAAAATTTTAAGACAGTAAATGGTTTTAAGCTATTAAAGGGTTAATTAAAACTTTTTATATATTAATGCTTATTAATGTCTAAATTATTGTATTCCATTTATTTTTGGAAGGAATTAATTTTGGATATAAGTATGTCAATATGAATTTTAATATAGGATAGTTGATTCAAGCTAATATGACTTATTGTGAATTTTGGTTTTGTGTTTGTATCTGATTGCAAAGGTATAAATTTTGAATACAACAAAATATTAAATATTCAAAATACTTAAACTTACATTTATTAAGCAAGATAAAATGTTACTGTTTCAGCCAAAGCATTAATACTGTATGAACATGCTCTCTTCTATTAAATGCAAGTTTAATTATCTTAATTATTCTGGCTCAGTTAGAATTTTATTATGTTGTATCTATGCTGCCACATTGATAAATACCTCTAGGTGCACAATCATAGCTACTATATTTTCATATGTGATGACTTTCCTAAATTGGGCATTTTATTTTTATAAAAATTTTATGTTGATTACATGTAGTATGAAGCTTTTAAAGTGAATTAAAGATTTTGAAAATAATCTTCTCAGTGAAAACTGAAATAGAACTAATCTATATTTTTTAAAAGCTGAATAAATTGTCAAAAAGTGAGCAGTATTAATAATGACAGGCAATTTATTAATGATCAGGTCATGAACACGGAAGAACACTAAGCATGGAAACAGAACAGATTGAAAGAAATACTTACATGTTATTAATCAAATATTTGTAAAATATGTATCATTTCTATCTAAAAAACCAGGTAAACCTCTAATTCCAGATCCTGGGTCAAAATGGATATCTCTGGCTTATATATTTTTGTATACCTCTCTTGATAAAGAAAATAATCTGAGTTGCAGTATTTTATTTCCAGTCATGATTTGGGATGAGAGCAGAGTAGCCTGACATTCACAATACTTCAGTGGCAATTACAGCACAGTTAATATATCAATTTAATTAAATTCTTATAGTGATTCATGATATAAAATATCAAAATAAGTTACCTTGCACAGAAATAGACAAAAGATCAGTGTTGTGGGCAGAGATACAATGAATTAAATTAAAGTATAACTGTCATCTACTGAAAGGATTGTGTACATAAGTAGGGTTTTTTTTTGGTAAAGCAATCACTTAGAAAGACATCATTTAGGAAAATTAGCTAAGATAGATCTCAGAAGGTTCCAGAGACTCCTAAAATCAGCCTTAAAGCAAAATCTAAATTTTTTATCTTATTGTTAATGAAGAATCAAATAACTATCTTTGCATTAAATAAAAATAAATGAATTTTTTCCTTATGTTTTACTAAACATAATACAAAATTTTGCATTTTCAGATGTGATTTGCCATTAAATTTCAGCGTTTTTAAGTAAACCGATATCATTACAATCCTCATGGAAAAGCTATACATCAAAGAAAACATCTGTGTGTCAAAGAGAGAAGAGAGAAGAGAGAAAAAGTGGCATCAGTGAATGAGTTGATCAGGTTTGCTCATCTTACTACCGCTTTGAACTAAGTCTGTTCATGTAATTCTACAACATTTCAGAAGGAAAGCTGCTGTTTTCTTCTGCTGACAAAGGCAGTAGGGGCTTGAGCAATGAAAAAAAAAACAAGATAAGATAGAAAAGAAGAAAGAAGGGAAGAAAGAAGGAAAGAAAGAAAAGAGAGAGAGAAAGAAAGAAAATGCCATCAGTATCCTATGTGAGTCTTACTGCTTACAGTGTGCTAAAAAATTAATAATTGGTACTTTTACATGTCAATGGTTTATAAATAAATTTGTGATCATGTGTTTCTCTCCTTTTGGCTCTAAGCATCTTCATCTGGAAAAAAGAATGAGTTGAGTTGTGTTTTACTCAGATACTTTTTTTTTTTTTTTTTTGAGACTAAGTTTTACTCTTGTTGCCCAGGCTGGAGTGCAATGGCTCAATCTTGGCTTACTGCAACCTCTCCCTCCTGCATTCAAGGGATTCTCCTGCTTCAGCCTCCCAAGTAGCTGGGATTACAGGTGCCTGCCACCACAACCAGCTAATTTTTTGTATTTTTAGTAGAGATGGGATTTCACCACGTTGGCCAGGCTGGTCTCGAACTCCTGACCTCAGGTGATCCACCTGCCTTGGCTTCCCAAAGTGCTGGGATTACAGACGTGAGCTATCACACCCGGCCAGATATCTTCTAATGATACGTTTTATAGACTATTTGTGAACCTAAAATATCTGAGACAGGTCTCAACCAATTTAGGAAGTTTATTTTGCCAAGATTAAGGACCCAGTCATGACACAGCCTCAGGAAGTCCTAAGGATGTGTGCCCAAGGTGGTCAGGGTACAGATTGCTTTTATACATTTTAGGGAGACATATTAATCAATACGTACAAGATGTACATTGGTTCAGTCCAGTAAAGCAGGCCAACTCAAAGGTGAGGAGGTGGTGTTTCAGGTCATAGGTAGATAAGAGATAAAAGAGGTTGCATTCTTTTGAGTCCTTGATCAGCCTTTCACTGAAGACACAATTTAGTCTGGCTCAGTGAATCTGCATTTTTAACATAAACAATAGGGCAGAGAAAGCAATCAGGTATGTATTTGTCTCAGGAGAGCAGAGGGATGACTTTCTGTCCTACACCTGTGAAGAGAGGCTATTAGTTTACATGGCCAGGATGAAATTCAATACAACTGTTTTAAGGCAAAGATCTTGAGGCCCATAAGGAATTTCCTTGAGAATAAATTGTGAGGGAGGTATGTAGCTCTTTTTTCTTTTTAGCTATCTTATTTAGGAGTTAAAATGGGAGGCAGATTTGCCTGATGTAGTTCCCAGCTTGACTTTTCCCTTGGCTTAGTGATTTTGGGGTTCTGAGATTTATTTTTCTTTCACAGTTTTATGGTGAAGAAATCATACCTAGCTCAGTTCCTGTGCTGTAATTTTAGTTTAGTTACTGCTAGAGTAATGAGTAATCATTAACTTATAAAGTATTTTGCTTTATTTAATCAAGCAAAATAAGTGTGTGTGTGTGTGTGTGTGTGTGTGTGTGTGTGTGTGTGTGTATTAGTTCTGAAATCTTCCAGCCAGTTAAAAAATATTAGGACATTTCTGGACATGTCCTTTAGAAATAAATTACCAAATATTCCCCCAAAAATTGGGTTTTCACTCTCACCTTCAATAATAATTGTAAGGGAGAGAAAAACTTTCCTTCTACTCTCAGAAGGTTTGATAATTGAGTCTGTGAAATAACCTGACAGTAAACAGATTAACCGGAGAAAAATCATTTTAATTATGTGCATACGCATAGGAGCGCCACAACATTTGAGACTCAAAGAAGGGCCAGATGACTGAAGTTATATAATATCTCGAGGTACAGCAAGGAGTAGGAGTTCGGGGCCCTTGTGGTGGTGACAGTGACACAAGTTATGCAAGGGGGAGGGGAGAACATGCATGGCGAACAAGATTGTCTTGTTATGCATAGAAAAGTCTTTCAGGTATGAGAGGAGCCCATGGAAAGAATAGGTGACAGCCTGTGACAACGTCTGTCTGGGCATGGAGTTTCTTCTCCCTGGACTCACCCTTCCCTGGTTAATGAGATTCCTGGGGAGCGGGTTTGTGAAAATTGAGGATCTATCATTTGACAGATAAGGGAACTTTAGAGAACCCCCCACCTTACACTTCAGGAAAGAAAGAGGAGCAAGAGACAGGCGCAAATGAAATAATCAGACAGAACTTGGTTCTCCTTTGGTTCAAAGCACTCAGCATGCCAAAGCACCATACTTTGGGATATTTGCTGAATGCCAACATAATCTACTATGTTGA
This sequence comes from Homo sapiens, assembly GCF_000001405.40. Classification (NCBI taxonomy): domain Eukaryota; kingdom Metazoa; phylum Chordata; class Mammalia; order Primates; family Hominidae; genus Homo; species Homo sapiens. The sequence goes on from NC_000004.12 coordinate 95,857,874, forward strand.
AAAACTCCCCTGGTTATGCTAGTAGTATGTAATAGCACTGACACTAGGAAAAGATAACAAATAAGCAAAGAAAATAGAGTTCCATTTCTCTAACAGGACGGCTGAGTCACTTCTCACTAAAAATTAAGATTAGTCATAACAGAAAATCTCAAATTACAGTAGATAAGTTTCACATCATTTATGTATCAAGTCATTCATGGTAGATAAATTTCAAGTCAGAAGTTTATTTCCCTCTCACATAAATATTGGCAGACCATGATTAATGTGGTGGCTCTATTATCCTTAGGGACCCAAGCTCCTTTTATGTGCTACCATCTTTAACAAGTAGTTTCCACCTCATTTTGCAAGATAGCTACGTATCACATCCACATTCCAGATTTACAGAATTTATGCTACCATCTTGCTTACATTCCCGGGTCATATCTAGCTCCAGAAATGGTTGACAAATAACATATTTTTGGCAGTCCATTTGCCCAGTTTGAGTTTATGGACTTCATTGTTGAGAAAGTAGGATATTGGGAGATACCTCACAGATACTAGAAGACAACTGGTAGCCTCTGCTGCCAGTCTATCCTTGGGCAAAATGTCCCTACATGTTAAATATACTCATTCTTCTATCCTAAGGTATCTTCTGGTTCTAGTCAACTATAAAACAAAAGACAAGATTATCTTCTCTTTGCACCCAGTGTAGACCTGTGGGGCAGGATTAAAATAACCACAGTAAAAGTTTCCACTGGGAAAAAGAAAAAATGTCAAATATTTACCAGTTACTAGTTCATTTTCAATTTTATGCACTCATCTGAGGTGATTTTTTTATTAGTAATTTTCTAACTCAGTAGACCTTAATTTAAAAAAAAACTCTGAGGACCCTTTTGCAGTTTTATAAATTCCTGAGTTACACGTTATTACATTCATCAGTTATTGAGAAGAGCAAGGAGCCTATTAAAATATAGGGTATGTCTATCAATATTTGCTGCTTTATAAAATTGAGACTTAAAAATTATTTATTGGCTAATTTATTCAAAATAACAACCGTGGCACATGTTAACATAGTCTTAGAAAAAAATGAGGAGTGGCATCATTTAAACATTGGCAAATCTTCTTAATGTCTGACTTAACAGAAGACAACGGAATCATGATATCTGCTTCTGCATTCAATGTATTGATGTTAGTGAAGTAGATGAAGAAAATCCAGCTTTGCATAGCTAGAAAGTTGGAAAGGAGAGATGCTTAAGCAGCCTTTTTGGAAAACTGTGGTTATTTTTCTTTGATGGTACACCAAAACTTGATGAATGGAAGTTTCTTAAAGGTTAGTTGCAATGTGAAATCTGAAATCAAATTAATTTTTTATACTCAGTTACAATAAAATGCAGTTGTGTGTTTTGCATTTGAAATGGTCTTCTTACCACATTCATGGGTATTTGGAAAATACTGGTTTCCTGGGTTAATAAGGTTTTCCAAACGTTTACACGCTTCATTATGTAATATGAAAAAAACTCATATTTGTTAATATCACCACAGAAAAGCCTTTACCGGACTGGAAAGCTGTCATGCTCTTGGTCATAGATATAATTTTCCAAAATTCTAATTTTTGCTTGAAAGCTCAAATCTTATCATTGGCAACAAATAGCATCAGTTATTTTCCTTGAAGGGACAGATTTGCTTTGTTCATTTTAGAAAAAGTGTCTCTCCAATATTCATGTCAGCATAACCATAGTTTGTCAATCATTCTTTCTAGTAAAAATGATGTTGCATGGAATAAGCGGCTAGGCCAGTTAATATCAGTGCTTTTTTTTTTTTTTTTTTTTCTCAAAACAACCATCATACTTCTGTAAGCAACAGAGGTGCTTAATGCGTACCTCATATTTCATCACATAAAATATTACAACAAAGTACTCCAGAGTCAAGTTTTAATAAGATAATTTTTAGTGTTTCATCAAGGATATTATGAGTGAAACTGTGTCTGTGTATGAAACTGTATGATGAAGAAAAATGACTATTAGTTTAATTTGTTGACATTGCCTTCATTCCTTTTAAAAGTCACAGCCATTTTACCATCATTGCTTTTGAAATTTCAATGCAAATGTTTACAGAGGAAAAAAAATAACAGGCAAATGATGTCTTAGTATTATGAGGAGCACCTTAACCTCACAAATCCCTTGAAAGGATCTTGGGAATACCCAGCAGGACCTCAAATCACTGTGAGGTTACAGCATGAACATTTACATTACTTACGGATGCTGCCTCATTGCACAATTTTTATTTTCATCAAAATTTTTGGTGTGACTGGCTTTGACATTATAACCAACACTTGTTTTATTAAAAGTATAAATCTTTGTCTATCTGATAGAAAAATCTCAATGTTACCTTAATTTGCTTTTCTTTCACTATAAGTAAAGATGAAGATCTTTTCTATTTACTATTCACTATGATGCTAGTGCTGGGATAAAGAAACAGTTCCATGGGACAGAATGAAGGATTTATAAAGTGACTTAGGTTCATGAGGGAACAGAATTTATGATCAAGGTTGTATTTTCTTAATGGTAATCACTTGGGAAGGAGCTAGAAACTTTAAATGATATTGGGATAACTGGCTAGCTACTCAAAAGCTAGATAGAGCTCTCATTTACATATTGCATAAAACATTCTGAATGTATAAAAGATTAAAATGGTAAAAATTTCAATCCATAAAGTAGAAGAGGGTAATTAATTTTAATATTTTATATTTGAAACATCTGTTGAAATACAACACAGGACAATCAGAAGACTTAAGGAAAATAAATGATAAACCTGACCATACAAAATTACTTAAATTTCTAAATGGCAAAAAAGCACAAAATAAATACTAACAATAATATGGGAAATATACACATTTAACATATACCACACACAATTATACTATTTAATATATTATGTACTACTATAAATCTGTAAAAAAAAAAACCTCTTATAAAAACCTTATAAAAAAAGGCACAGGAAATGTATGTAGGCAATTGAGGTAGATTATAAAAGCAATTTTAGGGCCATTGTATTCTAGGGATATTTGAAGTCAATCTCTCTCATTTATAGATGAGGAATCTAAAGTCCAGGGAGGCATATATAAAAGTTAAAGTTTTTTACTCTCCATTAAGTACTTTAAACACTATAGGTTACTTATTTGTTTCTACTAAGTAACGAAGTTACCCAAATCAGATTTATAGTCAAATATATACGAATATGTCAAATATGTATATTTGACAAATATATATGAATACATGACAAACATATTTGACATATATTTAGTCAAAAACAAAATATGAATTTTTCTTTTTTTTTTTTTTTTTGAGACAGAGTCTCGCTCTGTCACCCAGGCTGGAGCACAGTGGCGCGATCTCAGCTCACTGCAAGCTCCACCTCCCAGGTTCACACCATTCTCCTGCCTCAGCCTCCTGAGTAGCTGGGACTACAGGCACCCGCCACCATGCCCGGCTAATTTTTTTTTGTTTTTAGTAGAGACAGGGTTTCACCGTGTTAGCCAGGATGGTCTCCATCTCCCGACCTCGTGATCCGCCCTCCTCGGCCTCCCAAAGTGCTGGGATTACAGGGGTGAGCCACCGCGTCAGGCCAAATCTTTTATATATAGATCTCATATATGAGATAAATGTATATATCATATATAAATATATATATCTCAAATATATTTGACATATATTCATATGTCAAATACATCACAAAATATGAATCTTTTATATATAGATCTCACATATATATGTAATATATATATCATATATATCTCACTCGGTGACCCTGTATAAAAATGCAAATGGCATAGGATGACCTTTAGCTGTTTGCAACTGATAGGTTTTTAAAAACAGATTAACATTATCTAAAAATAGATTAACTGTATTGAAATTGAAACTATCTGCTCCCAATATATAGGGCTAGATGTAGTGGTTGAGAACTTAGGCTCTCAAGACCAACGTTTCCAGTTGGAATCTTGCTTTCAAAACGTGAGTAACCTGAACAACTTACTGAAACCCTATATGTCTCAGCTTCCTAATGTGTCATCCTAGTTCCTAAAGTTGTTGTATTAACTTCTACTTAAAGAGCTTATGACAAGCTGTGACATACAGTAAATGCCCAGTAATTGTCGGCTATTATTATTTTCATCATTATTAATAGATGGGGGCAGTTCTGGTGACCATAAACAGCTCTCCCTTTTGTGCATGGTTCCACTGTGGATTAGAAGCATGTCTTATCTTATTGTGCACCACTACAGAAATGATCTGCATATAGAATTGATTTCTACAGAAAGTCTGTAACCTACTTATCTTCATAGCGTATCAAGTAACAGGATGAATGAACCCCAGGTGTATATTATCAGTACAAGTTTGGAGAAAAGGTTTAGGGTCCTTTAGGATAATGAAAATGAAATGTATTTATTCATCTTTTATTTGAGGAAGAACTTACAGACTTAGTTCAAAAGTTGATGCAAAAGTGAGGTGAGAGATCAAATGAGATAATCAGGGAATACAAATCAGTTGATTTTATACTCAGATTATATCTACACACCCTCCTATTTGTCCTGTTTGTATTTCTCACTGTAAGGCTACTTTCAACTTGACCTTACTGTTCTTTGAAAAGTCTTCTGGAAACACTACAAAAGCTGACAAATTTTTCCAGGCTAGATTTGTAGCATTCTAATGTAGCCTGGAAATGAAATTGAACTGGAAATCATCTATGCATACGAAATGAAATTGAACTGGAAATCATCTATGCATACTAAGGCCAATGCCCGCCCATTCTGAATGGATCACCGGTGGCTTATCACAATTTCTAGACGCAATACTCAACTTAAATAGAAAATGATTCTCAGAAGCTAAAAGGCTTTCAGTTTTCAGGGTTTCTTTCCTTTGTCCTTTACGGTCCTGAACTCAATCAAATTGTCAGAGGACTCCCTCCCATCACAAGGATGATGGAAATGGAAATTTGGGTCTATTTATTTTTGAAAAGAAAGCGCCATGGGTAGGAAAACTTCACCACTCAGCATTTTATCAACATGCAATACACCAAATCAATCATAACTTTCTTGCATGAAATACTTTTCTAAAAATACCAAACAGCAAATAAACTTTCTCCTGAGGTCAAATCCTTACTGTAATTGACACTCTTAGTGACATGCTTTCTGTCTATTTTTCCCTATAAATACTTTAAGTGACATTGATGAATTAGACTAAGAGGAAACCATAGGATCTTTTATGCTGAAACAGAGTTTATTATTATAGTTTACTATTCATTCATTCCATTACAAAAAACATATTGAGGATTTAAAATTATTCCTCTGAGTTTTTGTATTGTATTTTTCTTCCATTTTTTGGAGGGGATGCTGGTGGTTTTTTTTTTAAACATTGAGATATAATTCATACATTATAAAAGTAGCCAATTTAAAGTGTATAGCTTTGGTTTTTCATACATTCATGGAGTTGTACAACTACCAATAAAATTTAATTTTAGAATATTTTCTTCATGCCAAACCAAATTGCCCACTTATTAGAGCCACTCCCCATTCCCATCCCTTCCTCCGACCACCAGCTCAGAAAACAACAAATCTACCCTCCTTATCCAAAGATTTGCTTATTCTGGACAGTTCATGTAAATAGAATCATATAAAAAGTGGCCTTTTGTGACTGGATTCTTTCAAGTATGATTATATTTTCAAGGCTTATCCATGCTGTAGCATGCATCAGTATTTCATTCCTTTTTATTGTTGACTAATATTCCATTGTATGGATACACTGTATTTTTAAAACCTATTCCTTGATATTTATGTTATTTCCTCTTTTGTGCACTGGTTTTTATGTGAACATACATTTTCATTTCTCTTGGGTATATGCCTGACAGTGGAATTGCAATGTTACATTGTAACTCATCGGTTAATACTGTGAGGAACTTCCCCATTGTTTTCTAAAACAGAACATTTTACAATCTCATCAGCAGTGTATGAAAGATTTATTTCTCTAAATTCTCGTCAACACTCATTATTTTCCATCTCTGTAATTACAGCCATCATAGTGGACATAAAATGGTATCTCACTGTGGTTTTCATTTGAATCTCTGGGAATGTTGGGGATCTTTTCATGTGTAATAGTATATCTGTATTTTTGTATATCTTCTTTAGGGAAATGTGTGTTCAAATATTTTTCTCATTTTTCAGTTAGGTTATCTATCTTTCATTATTGAGTTATCAAAGTTCTTATGTATTCTGGATATGGGTCCCTTGTCAGATATACGATTTGCAAATAATTTCTTCCATTCTGTGCATTTTCTCACTTTCTTAATGCTTCCCCTTGAAGCATACAAGTTTTAAATTTGATCAGGGCTGATTTATCTTTTGTCACTTGTGCATTGGGTGCCGTATCTAAGAATGCTTTATCTAAGCTAAGGTCAGAACAGTTTTATTTTTTTTCTAGCAGTTCTATAATTTTAGCTTACATTTACATCTATCACCAAGTTAGATTTAATTTTTGTGTGTAAGATAGGGGCCAAACCCATTATATTGCAATGTGGGTATCCAGTTGACACAGAATCATTTGTTGAAATGAAAATTCTTCCCCACTGAATTGTCTTGTTGAAAATCAATTGATCAAAAATGTGAGGATTCATTTCGGAACTCTCATTTCTGTTTTATGTGCTTATCTTCATGCCAATACCACACTGCTTTGATAACTGTAGCTTGATAGCTGATAATTAAGTTTTTAAATTGAGAAGTATAAGCTCTCCAATTCTATTCTGTTTTTCTAAAGATAGTTTTGGCTCTCTTTGGGATCCCTGCATTTCCATGCAAGGAAATTTCCACTCCTATTCCAAAACCAGCCTATCACTTTCTGGGAACAATATAATGGCAACTCGGAGTTTAATATGGGTTGCATTTAATCTGTAGATCAATTTGGAAAGTATTTTCATATAAACAACATTAAACCTTCTAATCCATTAATGTGTGTTATCTTTCCATTTATATCTTTTATTTTTAAAATAATATTTTGTAGTTATCAGTGTACGTTTTGTTTTTGTTAAATGTATTATTTTGTCACATTATTTTTGATGCCTTATAGATGAAATTGCTTTAATTTCATTCTTGTATTTTTTATTGCTGCTGTATAGAGATAGAATTAATTTTTGCATATTAATCTTATGATGTGCCAAATTGCTGAATTCATTTCAGTTTTACAGTTTTCAGTGAATTCCTTAGAATTTTTTCTCTATATATGTGATCATGTAATTTGCAAATAGTTTTACTTTTTGTCTTTTTTTTTCCTAATTGCACCACCTAAAACCTCCAGTACAAAGTTGAATAAATATGGCAACAGTGAATACCATTTTGTTGTTTATGATCTTAGAGAGAAAACACCCAGTTTTTCTCCATTAAGAACAATGTCACCTGTGCAGTTTCATGTATTCTCTTTATAAAGTGGAGGGGGTTTTTATGTATTCATACTGAGTGAATATTTTTATCATTAAAGAATATTAGATTTTGCCATATGTTGCAATTGCATCTATTGATATGAGCATTTTTGACTTTTAGTCTAAAATATGTTGCAGTATATTGATTGATTTTCAGATGTTAATCCAACATTGCATTCCTGGGATAAATTACACTTGGTCATGGTGTATAATTATTTTTATCATCTTGTTGGTTTTGTTTGCTGATATTTTGTTGAGGGTTTGCATTTATATTCACAAGGGATATTGGTCTGAAGTTTTCTTGTGATGTCTCTGCCTGTATTTTTGGTTTTGTTTTCAATCAGGGTAATACTGACCTTATAGAATATGTTGGAAAATGTTCTGTCCTCTGCTAATTTTTGTAAGAACTTGTGAAGGGCTGGTATTATCTTTTTAACAGTTTCATAGGATTAATCAGAGAAGACTTTTGGGCCAGGGCCTTACTTCATAGATCACAAAATTTTCTAATTCAATCTCTTATTTTTTATAGGTCTATTCAGATTTTCTATTTCCTCTTGTGTTAGTCTAATTAGTTTATTATTTCTAGGATTTTGTGCATTTTTATCTAACTTATCCTATATTTGCCATGTAATATTTCCTTATAATTCTTTATTTCTATAAATCTAGTATTAATGTCCCTTTTTAAATTCCTGATTATAATTTAAGTCTTCTTTCTTCATTTTCTTGGTCAACTAGCTAAAGATGTGTCATTTTTGTTGATCTTTTCTGGGAAAAACTTCTGGTTTCATTGGCTTTCTCTACTGATTATCAATGTTTCTGCTATAATATTTGTTATCTCCTCCTTTTTCCTGTTTTTGATTTAGTTTACTCTTCTTTTCTGATTTCTTGAAGTGGAAGGTTAGGATATTGATTTTTTTCTTTTACCCTGTAAGCATTTACAAGTTTTCCTCTAAGCACTGTTTTAGTTGGATTCTATACATTTTGGTATGTTGTGTTTTTGTTTTTATTCATTTCAAAATATTTTCTAATTTCTCTTTTGCTTTCATTGCCTCATTCTCTTTAGGAATGTTGTTTTATGACTAGAATATGATGTGTCCCGGATGATGTTCCATGTGTGCTTCAGAAGAATGTGTATTGCACAGTTGTTGGACTGAGTGTTCTGTAGATGTCTTTTAGGTCTAGTTAGTTTATAGTGTTGTTGATGTCTTTTTTTTTTTTTTTTTTTTTGCTTATCTTCTGCCTAGTTGGTATATCCATGACTGAAAGTGGGTTACTGAAGTCTAATTATTATTGCTTAATTGTCTGTTCCCCCATCTATTCTGTCAGTGTTTGCTTCATATATTTTAGGACCATGTTGCTAGGTACATATGTACTTACAATTGCTGTATCTCCTTGATGAATTGATCTTATTATAGAATATGACTTTTTCTTTAGTAACACATTTTGTCTTAAAGTCTATTTATATTAGATATTAATATATCCAGTGCAGCTGTGGTTTGGTACTGTTTGCATGGCATGTCTTTCAATTCTTTTACTTTCAACCTATTTCTGTCTTTGAATCTAAAGCATGTCTCTTGCAGACTGCTTTAGTTGGATCACACATTTTTGTCCACTCTGCCAATCTTTGCCTTTTGAGCAGAGTATTTAAACAATTTATATTTAATGTAATTATTTATAAAGTAGAAGTTATAGGATTTACATCTGGCAGTTTCCTATTTGTATTCTATATATGCCTTATGTCTTTTTTGTCCATTTCTCAATTACTGCCTTTTTGATGTTAAACAGATACTTCCTAGTGTACTATTTTCACTGCTTTACTGTTTCCTATATTTTTTGAGTTATCATCTTAGTGATTTTCCTGGTGATTACAGTTAGCTCATAACTTTAAACAATCCAGTTCAAGTTACTACTAAACCTCAAAGGTATACAAATCTTTGCTCCAATATGCTTATTTCTCTCTCCTTCTTTAAACTGTGATTGTCCTACAAACTATCTTTATACATTATAAACCTATTAATGGTGTTTTATAATTATTGGTTTATGCAATTATTTTTATAAAACAGATAGGATAAGGAAAGGGTTATTGATATAATTTGGCTCTGTGTCACCACCCAAATCTCGTGATGAATTCTAATTCCCACTGTTGGAGGTGGGGCCTGGTGGTAGGTGATTGTATCATGGGAGTGGTTTCTAATGGTTTAGCACCATCCTCCTAGTGCTGCCTCTTGATAGAGTTCTCATGAGATCTGGTTATTTAAAAGTGTAGAGCACCTCCCCTTCACTCTCTCTTCCTCCTGCTCCAGCCATGTATGATGTGCCTGCTTCCTCTTCACCTTCTGCCATGATTGTAAGTTTCCTAAGGCCTCCCCTGCCATGTACAGCCTGTGGAACTGTGAGCCAATTAAACTGCTTTTCTTTATAAAGTACCCAGTGGCAGGTAATTATAGCAATGTGAGAACAAACTAATACCGTGATAAATATTTTTATACTGTGTTTTATATTTACTTATGTAGTATACTTTACTGGTGCTCTTTATTAAATTCATGTGGTTTCAAGTGTCCTTTCAGCCTGAACGACTCTTTTTTAAAACCTTCTTGGTAAAGCAGATCTTCTAGCAACAAATAATCTCCATTCCTCTTTTTAAAAATCCTGGGAATGTCTTAATTTTATATTCATTTATGAAGGCAAGTTTAGCTGAATTCTCAATGAACAGTATTTTTATTTCAACACTTTGGACATGCTACCCACTGTCTTCTGACATCCATAGTTTTACATGAGAAGTCAGCTGTTAATCTTATTGAAGATTCCAGATAATTGATGTAAATTTTCTCTTGAGGTTTTCAAGAAAAAAAAAAAAGGTGTTTGAATTACATCATTTGACTCTGACCATTCTAGCTGTGGGACTTTGAATCTGTTCTATGTGGAGTTTATTGATCTTGGATGTGTAGATTAATATGTTAAAAATTTTGAAATTTTCCAGTCTTTTTGCCAATGTGTCTCTCTCATCTCCTCTGAGACTTCTGTTTATTTTGGTACACTTAATGGTGTCCCATAATTCTCTGAGGTTCTGATCATTTTCTTTTTTCATTTCCCATACTGCTTATAAGATTGGATTATCTCTATTGACCTATCTTCAAGTTTCTTGATTCACTCTTCTGCCAGCACAAATCTAGTGTTGAGACACTCATATTTTTGTTATTTGTCTTTTTAAGTTCACAATTTATATCTGCATTTTTAAAGCAAATATAAATTTGATATACTTTATTGATATCTTTTTGGTGAGAGGTAAACATTTTTATTTAGTTCTTATATATACATAATTTCTATTTTTATTTTTAAAAATACATTTTTTGAAAAATATGGAATGCTTCATGAATTTGTGTTGCATCCTTTTGCAGGGGTGATGCTACTCTTCTCTGTATTATTCCAATGTTAGTATAAGTGTGATTACTGATTTTTTTATTTTGTGAGGCATTACTGTCTTTACATTTCTTGAGTGCTTTACACATGATCTTGTTAATTCTTTGAACTTCTCTACAATAACTTAAGACATTGTCTTCTAAGATCAAAATCTGGGACTCCTCAGGGACATTTTCTGTTGGCTGTAAATGTGTCATGCTTTCCTTTTTCTTTGCATGTTTCATTTTTTAAAATTGAAAATATTATATATCGTAGCCATTCTGGTATCAGTCCTCAACCCTCAAGATTTGTTCTTGCTTAGACTTTGAAAATTTTTATTGTTGTTGTTTTTCTTGCTTCTGCTTATTTGTTTAGTGACCTTCCTGAACTAATCCTGTAGATTCTGTATTCCTTTCGGTGTGCAGCCACTAAGCACTGTACTATATAGGTTGAGTAGTCCTAATAAAAAAAATCTGAAATCTGAAATGCTCCCAAGTCTGAAATTTTTTGAGTGTGTTGACGTTATGCAAAAAGAAAATGCTGATTGAAGTGTTTCCGATCTCTGGATTGGAAATGCTGAACTGGTATAGATAGTGCAAATATTTATAAATCCTTCCAATTTCAAAATCCAAAACACTTTTTGTCCCAAGCATTTCAGATACTAGATACACAACCTCTCTCCTTCCCTCTCTCTCTCTCTATATATAGATATACATAGAAATATCTAGATATCTATCTATCTATCTATCTATCTATCTATCCATATATGTTTGTTGCGGCACTAATCACAACAGCAAAAACTTGGAACCAACCCAGATGTCCATCAATGACAGACTGGATTAAGAAAATGTGGCACATATACACCATGGAATACTATGCAGCCATAAAAAAGGATGAGTTCATGGTAAATGACAAGTTAATGGGTGCAGCAAACCAACATGGCACATGTATACCTATGTAACAAACCTGCACATTGTGACATGTACCCTAGAACTTAAACTATAATTAGAAAATATAATTTTTTAATTATAAATATTAATTTACAATTAAATTAATTTAATTATATTAATTAAATTAATTATATTAAATTAATTTAATTATATTAAATTAATTATATTAAATTAATTTAATTATATTAAATTAATTTAATTATATTAAATTAATTATATTAAATTAATTTAATTATATTAAATTAATTTAATTATATTAATTTAATTATATTAAATTAATTTAATTATATTAAATTAATTATATTAAATTAATTTAATTATATTAATTTAATTCTGTTCTGTCCCACAGAACAGTGTCCCACAGAACAGTGAATGTTTTGTCAGAAATCACAGCTGTAAAACCTCTATTCCCTGGGTGCTGTGGCCAGTTAATTTGATTCAGAGCTCAACTCAGTATGGAAAAGAGGGGCCCCAACCCCATGGCATTACCAAAACAATAGCAATTTGCTGGCAACATCACAGCTAGTGAAGGCTGTGGTTGAGTTGGAGCAAACAAGTTGGGGAGGGATTTAAAAAGAAATCCCAGAGAATCAGTTGACCACAGAAAATTCTGAAATGCTGCAACACATTCATGGGGATTTAACTGAAGGGCTATGCCTAAGTCCAGGGAAGACATGGGAAAGGAGGCATTAGTCATTTACATTTGACTGACCTTGCAGATATGAACGAGCAGAACCCTGCAGAAGCAGGAAGTGAAAGCTAAAGAAGTGTTGAAAACTGCCTGAAGTTTGGATGTGCCTTATCACCCTTTGAAAGGTGGTAGATACACAAGAAAGGCATTTAAGAAAATCTTCTGATGGACCATTGGCTGACCACTAAATTATACTGACCTAGATGTGAGCCCTAGAAAGGCAAACTTAAAAACAAGAAAAAAAAATATAGAGAGCTATATAGATATATTTAGATATATGTCTAGATACAGAGATAGAGCTATATATAGACAGATATCTAGATATAGAGATAGAGCTATATAGATATATATATATAGATATATCTCTAGGTATAAAGATATCTATATATCTCTGTATCTACTTGTTAATTACCTATCCTATTTATATCTGCATTTTCAAGTAAAATTTATATTTGTCATGCTCCTTCCATTTTAAAGTTGCTTAGTACCCCCTCTCTCTCTTCCAGGTAAAATATGCATTTGTAAAGGTAGAAGAGATATGAGTATTATTACATAGTTTTTATTTATATGCTCAAATTTCACATATAAGTTTTTCAGTTGATTTCTATTATTTATTACTTTTTGTTATTGCTTTTCTCAATGTTCTCATCTTTCAAATGTGACTTGCTTCTATATTTAGTTTATGAAAAATAATTAAATTCCATGAGATTATTCCCTAGCTAGTCTTAGTAATTCTGAATTCCAGATGGAATAAGAGTTACATCTATTACATTTTAACAAATACGTTTATATACATTCTCTAATATAAGATAGGATATTTCAATTTTATTGCAGTAAATTTATGGCAATAAATTTACATTTATATCCTTTATTTACATTATATCCTTTGCATAAAATCAGTCGGTGAATCATGGCTTAAAAATACATCTTCAATTAGTTATGCAGCAATAATGTCCCCAATATGTATTATCATTTACAATTATAATTTGCTAGATGATACAGATGAGATGTAGTAATGAGTAATATAATTGCCTTTTTAATGCTGTAGTAGGTATGTTGTGGTCATTAATTATCAACTTGACTAATTATTATTGGTAACAATTAATCTTTCCTCTGATAATTATTGCTGATGAATATACATGTTTTGCCCCCATTACCTTTTACCATGACATGAAGATGATATATGTGATTATTAAACTACAGACTGTCTAAAACAGAGTTAAATAATTTGATATAGTAAAGGTATCCTTGAGCTCAGATAAATTTTCATTAAGCCATGGAACTGCAAAAGGCATTTGACCTAATGACATTTTTCAGATATTAAGGTTATCTCATTCCCCACTCTCCCTCGCAGATTTGTTTCTTTGTATTTCATATATGACGGTGCAGAGCTTCTGGCTGCCTTAAATAGAGGAGTTATTCAGAAGTGTGCTTCTGTAAATGAGAGGGTGTATGTAATCTTAGCACTGAGAAAAAGGAGTAGAAAAAAAGTCTTACAATGCTAACTCTTAAAAATTCTTCATAGTAATTACCAAATTTCATGCAGATGTTCTTCAACTTACGAGAGGGTTGTATCCTGATAAGCTCATTGTAAGTTGAAAATATCTCAAGTTGAAAAGACATTTAGTACACCTAACCCACCAAATGTCATAGTTTAGCCTAGTGTACCTTAAAAGTATGCAGAACACTTATATTAGCCTAGAGTGGGGAAAAAATAATCTAACACAGCATATTTTATAATAACATGTTGAACATCTCATGTAATTTATTAAGTACTGTACTCAAAGTGAAAAACAGAATGGTTGAATGGATACTCCAAATACACTTTCTACTGAATGCATATAGCTTTTGTAACATCATGAAGTTAAAAAATTGTAAGTTGAACCATTGTAATTCATGGATCATCTGTGTTTACAAATACCTGTGACCAATAAAACATTTATAAGAAGAAGGGTAGATCTTGTATTTTTTGTGTTCCCAGCACAAGAATAGTGCCTGGCACCCAGTAGATGCCCAAGAAATATTTGCAGAATGTATAATTAAATAGTGAGGTGAGCTAAATGTTCTGTAACAATGAGAAGCTGATGTAAGCCAGTCATTGGTAATTGTTAATTTTCATCAAAGAGATCATTCAATAAGCTTTCACAAAAATAACCTCTACTCTAACATTTACCATTCAAATACACTCTGAGAAACATATTGACACTCACTGAGAAAAAAAAATAAATGTGAGACTCATGATACTGATTTTGAACAAAATTTGCTGCATCTTGGAGCAATAGAGGCTTACACTTGCTATGAGTTTATCAGAAACATTGTCATCAGAACAAACCTAAATTAACTCCTATTTTAAGAAGTCTAAACCAGTCAGTCCAGCTTATGCAGAAATATATTATCATAGCAATTATATTAAATGATTGGTCTAAAGTATTTTTAAAAGCAGATATTTGTGTCATTTTACTCAATTATTTTGGGGGAACATCTAAAATATATTTTATGGCTCAAAATGGGTTTCCAATATTGTAATCTTAATATATGATGTTGTAATTGTGGGAAACAGGGTTTAACTTGAGGTTTACTGATTTACGACTATCATCCAAGAAATAATAAAATAATTAGATAATATATTGGTTTCTTTGAAGAGAAAGTATGGGTGGTGAATGATGTATTCTTACAAACAATACAGGAGGAATTCATAGGCAGTGGTTTGTCTAAACAAAGAAGGGTTGTAGTAACCCGCAGTTTTTCTTACAATCAATATGAACCTGGGAAATGGCACTACTTAAACTAAATATACGATAAGGTAGTGGAAAGCCCTGTGGTTAAGAGCAGGAATTCCGAGGTCAGGAGACCCTGTGTTGGAGGCTCATCTCTCTATTTAGTATGAATTTTAACACAAGTTATTCAATTATTCTAAACCTAGTTTCATAATCTTTGAAACACTGGTTATGAAAATAAGATCATGTCATGGTATTATGGGAATTTCAAGTAGGTAATGCTTTTATTATGGTTGTATAATAGTGGCTGTATCAAAAGGTTGTTGATAGGATTAAGTATAGGAAAATTATTTAGTGTACTTGGCAACATCTAAATAAATACTATGTATTATTTATTATTGCT
Organism: Homo sapiens; assembly: GCF_000001405.40. NCBI lineage: Eukaryota > Metazoa > Chordata > Mammalia > Primates > Hominidae > Homo > Homo sapiens. Next base: position 95,873,474 of record NC_000004.12, read on the forward strand.
ATTACAAAATATGCACAATCCAAATACTACAGAAACATTTTTAAATTACATGTAAATACAGATATAACTTTTAGACAAAACTATTTTCAAAATCAACAGTATCATATTTATTAAATAATTTGTCTCAATCCATCAGTAAGTCTGTTGAAGAACATTTTTTTGTTTTCTGAAATATTCTCTTTAAGCCTAATTGATATTCTGTCCTCTAATGTGAGGAAGTATGTAAGCAGAAGGATGGTTCATAGCTAGTCACTTTATTCCTCCAGGTCATTCTAGAGAGAATTTTAATGTGGATTTCACATTGCATCACTGGTATGGGTGGCTTATTTTGTCTGACTCTCTAAATAGACTCATGCTGGAACCTTACTCCATTTGTGATGTCCTTCAACATTTGACCAAGCATACTTTGTCAGATTGGTCTAAACTCTATAGTGGTAACAAAATTAAAACATTTTATAATCTAGTACAGCCCACTCAGACATCATGCTCTTCTTTTATCTCTACTGAATAAATGCTCATGACTTGGCAAGTATTAAAGATTTATCTATTTATTAACATCTTACTCATGAGGATAAAACTCTTGAAATATTACAGCTCATTTTCAAGAATGTCCTTGGGATGGAAAGCAGATATATTTTTTGTCACATTACATTTTCAAACCATGTAGGTCACTGTCATAAAGCAGTCACTAGAAAAGTTAAATGAAACCGCATTATGCAATAGATTTTTTTCATATTTTAGATACATATACATTTATATAATACTTGACTGTAAATTTTGATGGCAGGGCTAAGTACTCTGTGGAGAGATTGCTAAGCTCTTAAGAAGGTAAACAATTTTTGGAATGGAAAGAATTGTATTTTTCATTGAATGGTGGCAAAATTTTTGTCTACCTTTATTAAGAAAATTTTATTTATTTTGGTTAAAAATTAAGTGAAAAATATGGTAGAGGGTCTTGCCTTGCTATTCCATTTTCTCTGTCTGACTCTTGAATGCTTTATGCATAGAATAGAATTATTGTGGGGGGTAAGGGGGTAGGATGCCAGTTTATCAGATAGGGCAAAATATCAGTTTTTCATCCCAGTTGGCTCCAGAACATTTGCTAGCAGTCCTCAATTGCTATTGTGAGGAGTGCATTAGGTGCTAGTGTGGATTTTAGCATGGTGGTTAAGACTGTAGGATTGGAATTGGCCAAGACTGGATTGTATCCAATTTCCATTACTTAATAATCTTTTTCCTTAGTTAGCTTATGTGTAAAAAGGGTGTAATAACAGTGTGTTACTGGATGGTTGTATGGGAAAAAAAGGATAGTTTAGTACAACACCTAGAAAATATAAGCACTTATAAAAATAAAAGCTATTATTTCCCCTCACATTATAACATTCCCTCAATAAACTATGATTCTCTAAAAAATTAATTTATCTATTTCTCTTTTTTAAAATTTATTTTTTCAGGCTGGGCCACTTATTACCTAGAAGAGTAAATTATGTGAGCATAATTCCCATTCCTGAATTAATGCTTTTTATTTGTTACACTTTAAATATGGTAGGTTTCTTTTCTTAGTTCATGATAAGTCATTCAGTCAGTCAGTTCACATTGAACACACCCTCTGTGCCAGTTGTTTCTTTATGCCAGTAGGAGCTGGGATAAAAAAACATAAAAGTTAAATAGGTACCCTGGCTTCAAAGAGCTTGCAGTTTAGTGATAAAGAGAGGCCTGCAAACAGGCAATTGCCTTGCCATGTGATAAGTGTTCTACAGGGAGCAGTGCATGGTGCCACAGGAGCCTATAGTTGGTGTTGGAGACATAATGTTTAAACACAGACCTGAAAGTTGAGTAGGAGGAAGCCAATCAAAATGTGAGGAGGAAAATAATCCACCCAGAAGAAATAGAATGTGCAAAAACCTGTAATGAAGAGTGAACATGGTATATTCAAGAATCTGAAATAAGGTATTTTTGGTTTTGGTAAGAATGCAGAGTGAAATTTCAAAGGTAACAAGCCATTCGGCAGGAGAAATAAACAAAGGCAAGATCACGAATGGATTTTTACATTTTGATTAACTTTTCCTTTATTAAAAAAAAAGAGAAGCCACTGAAAGATATCAAGTAGGGTAAGAAATGATGGCTACTTGTTTAGGAAGTATAATTTGGGGGCAGAGGAAACTAAGGGACAGAGGTCAAAACCAAAGACAAGAGAATAACATAGGAGGCTACTGTAGTAGTTGAGGTAGAAAAGCACGGATGTATACCCTAAACTAATGCCAGAAAGAATTGCAAGAAGCAAATGGACTTGCTAGATGTCTAGAAAGTTGACTCATCAAAACTTTGCAAAAATTTGGATGATGTCTGTGGTAGCAATAACAACAGTTAATACTTACATGGCACTTACTATGTTCCCATACTCATCTAAGTGTTTTGCTTATATTAAGCCATTTAATACGCCCAGAAAATGTCTCAGTTAGATAGTATTATAATTTCTGTTTTAGATGAGCAAACTGAGCAACAGAACATTTAAGTAACTTGTCCAAATTCACATAGCTAGTGGGTGGGAAAGCCAGGGTTTCAACCCAGGCATTCTGGCTCTGAAATGTAAGCTATTTAGTACGAGGCTACTCTGCTGATCCAAATGACAGTTACTGATTTAGTATTCATATTCAAAGTACTGTGTCAAGTACACTATAGTCATTAGTTTGTTTAAATGGTGGCAATTGATGAAGTTGAAGAAGACACAATTAGGTTTCTTGCTTAGTTACAAAGATAGGGAGCGCAGCAGACGAGCACAAGTTGAAAATCATTAATTGAATTTTAGTCAAGCTTATTTTGGGTTGCCTTTGAGTCACCCAAACAGAGGTGTCCAGTAGGCAGTTTAATGTACATGACTAAAAGACTAGAGAGTTATTTGTCCTGGAGATAAGGGGGGAGGGATATCATTAGGAGATATACCTAATGTAAATGACGAGTTAATGGGTGCAGCACACCAACACGGCACATATATACATATATAACAAACCTGCACATTGTGCACATGTACTCTAGAACTTAAAGTATAAAAAAAAAATTCTGAATTCACCAGCATATGGATGTTAGCTAGAGACATATAAATGTTCAGACAGAGACTATTACAGAAAAGGAGGCTTGGAGAAGGACACAGAAAAAGATCAACTTCAATGCCAGGACAGAGAAAGATGACTAGAAAGCAGGATAAGGAATGGTCAAAGAGTTGGGGGGAAAATGGAAAATGTGAAGTTACACAAGTCAAGATAAGAAAACTTTTCAAGCATGACAGAGTGGCCAAATTAACAATGTAAAATACTACAAAATGTCTAAGAAACTTAAGTCCTGAAAAATGCCTATTCAATATAATATAGAAGTCATTGGTGATCTTAGGGTAGGAAGTTTTAGTTGGTTAGTGGAGGCAGAAGCCAAATTTCAGTAAGTTAAGAAGTGAGTGCAAGGTGAGGAAGTGGTGATAGAAAATCTAGACAAGGGATTCAAGGACTTTAGCTGTAATTTGTAAAGGAAGAGTTAGGTGGTAATTGAATGGTGGGTGAGTACGTGTGAAGAGAATTTATAGATCGGTAGAACAGTAGATAGTCCAGAAATAAAGCCACACTTGTGTAGTCAATTGATTGTGCCAAAAAAATTCAATGTGGAAAAGTAGCTTATTCAAGAAATTGGTATTGAAAAAACTGCTAATGTGTGAAAAGAAATCTTGATTCCTGATTTAGACCACAAGTAGAAATTAACTAGAGATGGAAGATAGATCTGAAGAACAATTAAAGGATAAAGAGTCTAGAAAAAACATGATTTGGGATAGGAAAATATTTACTCAACAGGTCACAAACTAATATTTAGAAAAGAAAAATATAGTATATAATTTATTAAAGTTCATGTATTCTGCTCATCAAGACACTTAACTGAATGGGAGGCTAGCAGAAAATACATGCAAAATATATACACATTCGTTATAAATAACTTATACCAAGAATATATAATTACAAAACTCAATAATAAAATGACAACCCAAGAAAATGGGTAAAATTTTGAACAGACACTTTACAGTAGAAAATATATAAATGGCCAATAAACATACAAAACATTAGTCAAAATCATTAGTCATTAGAGAAATGCAAATTTAAACCATAATGAGATACCTCTACATACACAGTAAAATGACTAAAATTAAACAGATTGATAGCAAATGTTGAGGACATGAAGTAACCAGAAATCACATAAATTGCTGGTGGGTATATAAAATTCTCCATCATTGTACAAAAAATTTGTCAATTGCTTACAAAAATAAAAACATGCACCTAAGCCTTTGGCTGAGTAATTTCACTTGTATGCGTTTACCTAAAAGACATGAAAAGACTTGTATAAGAATGTTAATAGTAGCTTTATTCATAATAGCTTGAATTTGGAAATAATCCAAATTTCCTTCAACATAAGAATGATTAAAGTAGTGTATTCATATGGTATAATAATTTTCAGCAAAATAATAAAAATAAAAAAAGGAATATTGATAGCCACAAAAATATGTATAAAGCTCAGAGCCATCATGCTGTGCTAAAGAAGCTAGGCATAAAAGTTACCTATGTGTGATTTTATTGATATGAAATTCTATATTAGGTATAGTTAATTGATATTTTTGTAAAAATCGGAAAGTGGGTTGTCTTTGCGGTGGCAAGAATACCTGGGAAATGGGAATGCATAACTTTTCTGGCTAATGGAAATGTTCTATATCTCGAAGTGTGAATCATAACAAGTGGATGCATACAATTATGAAATTGTACACTTTTGATTTATACGCACTTTGTTGTATATAAATTTTACTTTAAAAAATGCCCTTAATATTGAAACCTAGTTGGTAGGTTTACTTTTTGCAGTAATAGAAGATGGCAATTCTGAAACCCCTTTCTGTGTATTCTAGGCTTGAACAAATGAGTAAATAGATTGAGGAATATGGAAACAAAGTCTTCCATTATGGAGGGGAGGAGATATTAATAAAGAATAAATTAAGAACATATTACAATCTTATATATGGAGTGGTATATGGAATTAGAGATTTATGAACTCAGTTTTAAATACATATAAAATAAATGTAGATATGAGCATATATAAATTTGATACATAAATGTAATACTTATACATAAATATGTATACAAATATTCATATTTTCCTAGCTCCGTTTGCTGAAAGGCCTGAGAAATCATGATGCAGCAGTAGCTATGAGCCCACTTAGTACTTGGATCTTGGTTTCTAAATATTACCATTCACCAAAAAGTACCAGGACCTCTTAAAGAAAAGCCTGCTTCCAAAGCTGGGGCAGGGAAAAGTACAAGAAGAGCTAGGAATATCTCGTTGTGGGAGGAAAAAAAAGAAAGTTCTTAAAGAATGACATGAATACTCAAAAGGACACAAGATTTAACTTGAGAGGAATCTCTCTTAACCAAATCCAGGAAAATTTGACTTCCAAAATAATGATAGAAATTGATTATAGCCCATTGAATAAAGTAAAAATCTATAAGTTGATATTGGTATATATGAATGAATGCATGCATGAGTCACTGAACAGTAAATTAATAAATTAAAAAGGGAAAACCTTTATTTATAGAATATCAACTAATAAAAGGAAAAGAGAAAACTTCCCACAACATTCTAAAAGAGCAACTGGTCTCACATAAAACGAGGAACACCACTTACATCCTACGAGTGGGAAAGAGAAAAGAGTATGCAGATATGGGAATGTTTTATATTTGTAGTTGAGAAAGAAAAATATTTCATTTTTCTTTTTGGTGGTGATGGTGTTTTCTCTCTGTCAAGTATGATGTCTGAAATGGCTGTCCAGAAAATGGGCATGATATCAAATTAGAAAATATGGAAGGACCTTGAGGAGCCTATTGATGTTGGAAATAAAGAATCTGTAATGATCCAAACTGGCAATCAGGGTTACTCTTTCATTTTATCAGCATTCTGTTCTATCCCTACCTATAATTTGAAATTGTATGGTGAGGAATAAATGTCATTTTTCTTTGAAAACTCATTTATAGAACATTCTTGTCAGTTTACGTTTTCACATGCTTATAAACTGCAATTTTCTCTTAGCAATATCCAAGTGAGACAGAGCTAAAAGTAGGGCCAGCATTAACTCTTTGCTGAATCTAAAATTAAATAGCTTTTACTCCTTCGCTTTGGAGGGCAGAAGTCCCTTCTTTTGTTAATTAAAATTTTTATTGAGATAACTGTAGAGTCACATGGAATTCTAATAAATAATACAGAAAGATCCCCTGTATACTTTATCCAGTTTCAGTCAATAGTAACTTTTTGTAAAACTGTAATGTAGTATCAGAGGCAGGATAATGACATTAATGTAATCTACCAGTCTTACTCATTTCCATCATTTTACGTATACTCATTTATGTTTGTGTATGTATATTTACTTTGACACAATGTTATTAGATATATATGTCTGTTTATGCACCAGCACAGTTCAGGTACTGAAGGTTTCCAACTCCTCAAGTATCTCTTGCATTGTTTTTTACAGCCATTCTTATTCCTCTCCCACTGACCATACCTTCCATTTGTAACCCCTGGTTGCCACTAATCTGTCCTCAATCTTTTAAAATTGTTATTGCAAATATTTTATAAATGGAATTGTACAATATGTAACTTTTTGAGGTTGTTTTTTAAATTTAATTCAATTCCCTGAGGATTCATCCTAGTTATGTGACTCAGAAGTTTGCTCTTTTTTAATGCTAAGTATATTCTATGGTATGTATGTACCAGAGTTTATCTTTTGAAGGACAATTTGAACTGATTCCAGTTTTGGGCTTCTACAAATGAAGCTGCTATGAACATCCATACACAAGTTTTGGCAAAAACAATTTTCATTCTTCTGGGAAAAATGACCAAGAATAAATTTGCTGAGTATTAGTGTATTAGCTAGGGCTGCATAGCAAAATAACAAAGACTGGATGGCTTAAGCAACAGAAATTTATTTTCTCATAGTTCCGGAGGAAAGAAATCCAAGATCACGGTGCTAGCAGGGTTGGATTCTTCTGAGGCCTCTTTCACTTGCAGATGATCAACCTTTTGCTGTGTCCGCATGAGGCCTTTTTCCTGTTCATACAAACCCCTGGTGTCTCTTATAGGAGGCCAGTCATCTTGGATTAGGGTCCCACCCATATGAACTCATTTAACCTTAATTGCCTTTTTAAGGTCCTGTCTCCAAATACAGTCACAGTGGGAGTTAGAACTTCAATATATGAATTTTGGGGGCATATAATTCCATCTATAACGTATAATTATGGGGTATTTTACTTTTATAAGAAACTGCCAAACTATTTTCGAGTATGGCTATGCCATTTTGCATTCTCACTAGTATTCTACAAGTGATTCAGTTTCTCTGCATCCAAACATCCTTGGTATTGTCACTATTTTTAATTTTACCCAATTTGTAATCTCAAGTTGTATTTTCCTGATGGGATATATGTCTATGCTTAACATCTTTTCATGTCCTTATTTATCATCTGTGTATCATCTTCAGTAAAATGTCCGTTCACTTCATTTGCCTATTTTCTAATTGGATTGTTGAATTTTTATTGCTCAGTTTTCAGGGTTCTTTATATATTCTAGATACCAGGCCTTTGTTCAATAAATATTTTTCAAATATTTTCTCCTAGTCTGTAGCTTATCTTTTGATCCTTTTAATAGATGTTTTTGTACAAAGAAAAACTATTTAATTTTAATGTGGTCTAATTTGTCAGTTTTTTCCTTGTATAGGTTTTGGAATCAATTTAAAAACTCTGCTGAGAGCTAGATCCCAATGATTTTCTATTTTTTCTAAAAGTTTCATAGTTTTATATTTTACATTCAAGTCCATAATCTATTTTGAGTTAATTTTCATATGGTATAAGATTAGGTCAAAGCTTAATTTTTTTGCCTATGGATATTCAATTGCTCCAGTGCCATTTGTTGCAAAGGCTACTTTTTTTCTGCATTGAATCATTTTGTATCTTTGGCAAAATTCAGTTGGTATATCTGTGTGGGTCTATTTCTGAGTTCCACATTTTGTTTCGTTGGTCTATTGTTGAAGCCCTCAATCATACTACATATCTTGATAACTGGAGCTATATAGCAAGCTTTCCATTTCAGGTAGATTAATTTTTCCCACTTTATTTTTCTTTGTCAAGATTGTTTTAGTTACTCTAGAGCCTGTGGTTTTCCATATAATTTAAAAAATAAGCTCATCTATATCTACAAAACTTCTTCCCGATTTTTTTTACAGGAATTGCATTAAACTTACAGATCAGTTTGGGAGAACTCATATTTTTACTGTGATGAATCATCATCCAATCCATGAGCATAGTATGTCTGTCAATTTAGATTTTTAAAATATATTTCATGACAATTTTGTAATTTTCAACATATGTAATGTACATAGTTTGATAAGTATATACCTACATAATTCATTTTTTGAGTAACTGTTAATGTTATTGTTTTTAATTTTGTCGTATCTTCATTGTCAGTATGTGATTTTCTTTTGTGTGTTGATCTTATATCTTACCTCCTTGATGAACTCACTTATCAGTTCTAGTACTACATTTTTATATTCCTTGCTATTTTCCATACATTTAAGGAAGTCATCAGTAAATAGAGATAGTTTTATTTCTTTGTTTCTGATCTGTATGTCTTTTTTCTCTTTATTGCCGTGGCTAGATTCCTTGGTATTTTCTATACATTTTAGGGTCTGTGGTATTTTTAGATTATTTAGTATTTTCTATGCATATACACAAGTCATCTGTAAATAGACATAGTTTTATTTGTTTCCAATCTGATTTTTTTATTTATTGCAGTGGCTAGATTCCTTGGTATGTCCAATGCATTTTAGGTTCCTTTGTATTTTTACAGTCCTTGTTATTTTCTATGCATATGAGCAAATCATCTGTAAATAGAAACAGTTCTATTTTTGTTGTTTCTAATCTGTATATTTTTCTTTATTGGAGTGGCTAGAACTTCCAGCTACATATAGAATAAGAGTGGTGAGAGCAGACGTCCTTGCTTTGCACCCTATCTTAGGGACAAAGCATCTAATCTTTCACCATTGGATATGATGTCATCTGTAGATATTTTGCAAATGGCTTTTACTAAACTCAGGTAATTCTCATCTATTCCTAACTTGCTGAGAGTGTTTTATTATGCATAGCTACTGGATTTTCTCAAATGCTTTTCTGCATCAAATGATATATGTTTTTCTTCCTTAGCTTGTTGATATGATGAATTACACTGATTTTTTTTAAAGTTGTAACAGCCTGGCACAAGGGGAAAAAAACCACTTTGTTATGGTATGTAATTATTTTTATACATTAATGGATTAAATTTGCTAATATTTTGTTTCAGATTTTTGTACTTACATTCATGAGAGATGTTGGTCTGTATATTTCCCTGTTTTTGTTGTCCTTTCTGGTTTCGTCATCAGGATATTTGCCTCATGAAATGAGTTGGAAAACATTCTCTACCATTCTGTGTTCTTGAAGAGATTGTATAGAATCAGTTTTAATTCATTTTTGATATTTGGTATAATTCTGCACTAAAACCATCTAGTTCTGAAGATTTCTTTAGTAGGAACTTTTAAATTACCAGTTTTAAATTACTTTAACAATTATACAGCTATTGACGTTATGCACTTCATTTTTGTTGAATTTTAATAGTTGATAGTTTTGAAGGAATTATTCCATTATTTTTAAATTGTTAAATTTATGAGCAAAAGTCATTTGTAATATTTCCTCATTATCACTTTAATGGCTATAGGATCTGTAGTAATATCTCCTATTTCATTCCTGATATTGATTTGTGTTTTTTGTATATGTTGCTAGAGATTTATCAATTTAACTGATTTAAAAAAAACCTCAGTTTTTTCCTAATGATTTTTTCTATTTTTTTCTATTTTCAATTTCACTGACTTTTTGCTCTTATCTTTGTTTCCTTCATTTCTTTGGGTTTATTTTTCTCTTTCTTTCTCTAGTTTCTTAAGATAGAAAATTGATTTGAGATCTTTCCTCATTCTAATGTAAGCCTTTTGAGCTATAAATTTTCCTCTATGCACTGCATTAGCTACACCTCACATGTAGGCTGTGTTTTTGTTTTCATTTACCTGCATATATTTTTAATATCCATTGACACTCTTTATCCATGTATTTAGAAGTGACTTATTTAATTTTCATGTGTCTAAAGATTTTTCTGTTTTCCCTTTTTTGTTTTCTAATTTTATTCCATTATAGTCAGAGAATATACTATGTATGATTACACTTTAAAATTCTTTAAATTTGTTTAAGTTTGTTTTATGTTCCAGGATATGGTCTTGGTAACTTTTCCATGGGTGCATGAGAAAATATATATTGTGCTATTGTTAGGTGACATGTTTTATATTTGTGAATTAGATCCTGCTGACTGATGTTGTTCAGATCTTCTATTTTCTCACTGTAGGTAGTAATTTTATCCGTTGCTGAGAGGAAGATGTAGAAGTCCTTGACCATAATTGTGGATTTGTCTGTTTCTCCTTTCAGTTCTATCAGCTTGTGCTTCCTGTACTTTCAGGCTCTGTTGTTTGATGCATGCAGTGTTAGAATCACTATGTCTTTCTAAAATATTGATAACTATCATTATTTGTCTCTAATAATTTTCTTTGCTCTAAATTCTACTTTATCAGATACTAACATAGCCATTACTGTTTTTCTTTGATTAATGTTTGCATCACATATATTTTTCTATCTTCCTACTTTCAACCTACGTCTGTCAAATTTGAAGTGTTTCTATGGGCTATAGTTGGATTGTGTTTTCATATCTACATTGTCCATCTCTGTGTTTACAGTGGTATACTTAAGCAATTAACATTTAAGGTAACTATTAACATGATGTTGCTTAAAACTGCCATTTAATTTGCTTTCTATTTGTTTCTCCTGTTTCTCATTCCTCTTCCTGTTTCTCTATTCTTGCCTTCTATTGGTTACCTGAATATTTTTTAAGATTTCATATTGCTTTATTTATTGCGTTATTTAGTGCATCTCTTTGTGGAGTATTCATAGGATTATTCTATAGATATATCTATATCTATCTAAAATCTGTTATCATTTGAATTTGTGTTTTTGTAGTGTCTCTTCCAGTTGCTTTCAAAATTTTTCTTTGTCTTTACTTTTTGAAAGTTTAATTATGATGTGTCTTGACATGGATTTCTTTGAGTTCATCTTGTTGGAATCATTCAGCTTCTTGGATCTGTAGGTTTGTATCTTTTGTAAAATTTGAAAAGTTTTCAGTTATTTTTTCAAACATTCCTTCAGACTCACTCTTTCTCTTCTGAGACTGATGATACAAATTTGGATCTTTTATATTGTTCTAGAGGCTCCTCAGTCTCTGCTGAACTTTTTCAGTCTATTTTCTCTGTTGTTTAGGTAAATTCTATGACCTGTCCTCAAACTCACTGTTTCTAATGTCTGTCATCTCCACTCCTATTATGTTCATGAAGTTTAACATTATGGGTTTTTTTCTATAATTTCCATTTAGTTATTTTTATAAGTATTCTTTCTTTACTGAAATTTTCTGTGTTGTCACTTGTTTCAGGATAATTTGAAATTAAATATTGAAGCATAGTAACGATGACTTCATTAACTATGATGAAAATCCATATTAGATAATTGCAACATCTGATTCATCTTAGTGTTATATCAATTGTCTTTTCTCACTTAGGTTGTGGTTGTCTTGGTTCTTGGAATAATAGCTAACTTTTAATTGTATCCTGGCCATTTTGTCTATTATATTAGGAGATTCTGGATTCTATTTCATTTTTTTAAAGCAGTTACCCTATTTCTAGCCTACTTTTTAATCCTGTAATTCTAATGGCAATTTAAATGTTAGAACCTTGGTGGTGTTATTTTGATCTGATTGGTTTATGTGGTACTGTAGGAATTCCCACTTGCCTGTTGATGTTCCCTGAGTGTGTGGAAGGAGTTTTCTCAGTCTGGGTTGCTGTGTCTCTCACAGTGGCAGAAGGGTGGCAAGGGATCCACTACCCATGACCCCTACTTCACAGTTTCTCTGAGTAGGGAAGATGATTCTCAGGTCAGGAGTGTAAAAGAGATGTCCTAGGTCTGGCAGCTTGTTGTTACTGGGTCCCTATTGCTGATTCTGCCACCAGCGCTAGTGACCCTGGACAGAGAGGAGTTTTCTAGGCCTGGGTAATTACCATTGTTGAGTCCTCTTGCCTCTTTTGCCCATCTGACATAATTCTTCCTCAAAGGAAGTTGCGTAAAAGAGACTCCTCAGGCAGGAATTCTTGCTATGGCTTGGTCCCTCTAGAAGGTTCTGCTGGCTTCTCTTGCCTACCCAGTGTTGCTGGGTAGAAAATGGGTGTCTCAGGACCAAAGAGGCATCCAAGACCAAGCCAATTGTTGTGACTGAGTCCCTCCTGCTGCTTCCACTCATTGTTTCCAGTATCTCTTGGAGGGGAAGAGAATCTCAATCAAGTGGGAAAGGGGAGTGCTTCATGGCTGATTTAAATTGATGGGATTACTTGTTGATTGATCCTCCTTTTATTGGTGTCAGACTTGTCCAGTGTTCTCAGAGGTACTCTTAATTGATCTCAGAAGAGAAATTAGAATATGTGGGCTGCCTTCTGTTGCTAGGTTGGGATCAGCAAATGCCTGGTCTGACTTCATTTTCTCCTCTTGGTTGGGGTAAATGTAAGACATTCCCCGCTACTCTGTTTTTCCTCCAACCCTGGGATCCCAAACCGGTCTGTTCTCTTGTCACCTTCCAGAGTTCTTCTTTGGTTGTTGGTTGCATTATTTCCAGCTTACAGCTGTGCTTAGCAGGGAGGAGCAAGAAGAAGCAGGTCTATACCAGATATACTTGTCTGGAACAGAAGTCCCACACCATTTAATTTTGACAGTGATTTGTTTTTAATAGCTGTGCAAGAACTACACTTAATGCTTAACATCCATACCCCAAATATTTGAAAGTTTTATTTATCTTTTTCTCTTATATAAATTTTAAAGCAGTTTTGCAGCCCAATGATAATATATTATTCCTATAGAGGTAATTCACTAAGATTTATTTTTAAGTTCTAAAATCCTTTGATGATGACTTGATCTTTGCTATCATAGCTTAAGTGTAAAGTTTTCTGATAGCTCATTCAACCAAGGCTTTGTACCATTTATTGTTCACTGGAAACTTCTCTTAGAATGAGATTGAGCAGCTTTGCATAAAATGAGGAGGTAAGAAAGGATAAAAAGAAAGGGATATAAATTGGCTTAGTTCTAATATTTAAAAACATTTTGGAAGAGAAATATTATCTTTGACAAGAATAATGATGGGAGCGTTGAAGTGACTGGAGATACTGTGAATATGTACTTTGAAATTTAGATGTAGATTGAGCACAAAGAAAATACCAATTTTATTTGAAAAGATATATTTCTAATTAATAACTTTTCAACAAAGCTTTTCTAAGTTCTATCATGGCAAATAGAATTGTTAATTAAATGTTTAATGTTATTTATAAGAAACATAACAGTTTGGGGTTACTTGTTCAGTGTAGTCAAACTGTATATTTATGAGCTATTATCCAAACTTTAAATTAGAAACCACTGAAGAACATGTGCATATTGAACCTGTGTTCATTTTACAATATTTGCTGGCATAATTTTAGTGGGGAAAATTATTCAGACTTATATAATTCTAATAACTTTGGTTTTATGACATTGTTGGGTATATATATATATGATTTATTTGATGCCAAAACATTGGTTAGGAAGGCAATAGCTAATTATAACTTTTTCATGGTAAATCACTTTCATTTATATGGCATGGTTTCTACTAGCAAACTATGAAAAGTAGAAACTACTACTAATAAATGCTTCTGTGCATAAACACATTCACTGAGCAACTGAAACAAATTGCTCAGGATCAAAATTTGGTCGAATCATAGGACTCTGGAAGAATCACGTTATATATTGCCAATTTTGAATCATTATCACTACCACTCTTTTTCCCAATTTACCACAGTAAGTATTTGGTCCAGAATCTCTTCATCATTGACTCTGATGTATTTACTCTGTCAAGCAGATTTTGTCCTTTTTTTCCTTATGGTATCTAGTACTAAAAGAATTTTATTCCATACATTTTCTGAGAAAATCTAATTTGCTTTTCCAATTGCTTAGAATTAGTCTATTGGCAGACATGGAGGCCCTTAAGGAGCCATTTGCTCTCTCAGTTTAGTGTGCAGAACAAATTAGTACTTCCCAAAATAATACCAATTAAGCTAACGTTAAAAAGTTAGTATCTATGTTAATCTCAGGAGACAAGTTATCGCATCCCTCCAAAAGGGCTGCCACTCAAGGGCAATGCTTTTCAGATTGCATAGTATGCTACTTTTATATTATTCTCCGAAGATCTGCTTTTGCTAGATGCTATCTACCATTACTATTTCTACTGCTGCTGCTGCTGCTGACACACTATTACACTTATATACAGACACCATATTTTTTCAATCCACAAATTTTAGCATTCATTTTGACAATTGTACTGGGTAGGAGTTCAAAAGACCTGAATTCTTTTTCTAATTCTTTTAAAACTACTGTGTGACATTAGACAATCATTTTAATATTCTATCAGTCATTTCCTCATTTGAAAAATTAGCACACTGGACTAAATCAACTGGTGCGCTAATGCTCTTGGACCAATTTTGGTAAATAGTGTTTTATTGCAACATAGCCATGTTCCTTCATGTATGTATGTGTATAACTACTTTCATACTGCAACACCAGAGTTGAATATTTGCATCACAGACCCTATGACCTGTAAGCCTAAATATTTATTATGTGTACCTTTCAGAGAAAGTTTTTCAATCCTGGATCAAATGATCAAAGTTTTTTTTCCAGTTGTACACATTTATCACTCAAGAAGATTCTGGTGGAAAAAAAATCTTAGCCTGCCTACCAAATATGAAAATAGTTTTAAATTATTTAATTTTCTCTTGTGAAACTTCTCCAAATTACAAAGTCATCCCAGTTCATTTAAATACAGAGTTATCACAAGTGATAGTCCTATTGAGTGAAGACAGAGTGATAAACCCAATGGTAGTCATATTTTTTAGCAGTTTGCCCATTTTTCTAATACTTCAATATTGTCGTCTCAATTATAAGAGATGTAGCTTAATCCTAAATCCATCTACATTTATTGGGAGATTTTTATTCAAAGTCCATTTTGAAAAACAGTCACATTTCTCAAATTGTCAGAAATCAAATGGAAGAAAAAATATAAAGTGAAAATATAAATGACAAATTCCTAAATTTATAGGAAAAAAATGTAGATGTATATAGAGATTGGAAGTATATGTATGTTTACACTAATTGGTAGAAGATATTAACAGTGAAGGCCCTAGTTTTATTATACATCAGGGAGGATGATTGGCATTCATATTGGATTGATGCCTAATGTGTTTTCTTTTTCTGTGACTTTCAAAGCACTAAAATGAAAATATGTCAATTATGTGGCCACTGGGAAGTGATGAACCGTCAATTTTCAAATTAGTAAAAGATCTTAAAACCTATGATCAGGAACTTAATTGCACATTAGAGGCAAATTGGGAATTACTGCAGCATTGTGAGAAGAGAGTGAAAACATCAATTTATTGTGAAACTTTTTGACTGAAGAATGGAAATAAATTACAGAGCACAACCAAAGTCACACCAGAGAAACCTAGGACAGTTATATAAATGAGATTTTCCTTCTCTCTTACTTCTTACAAGATCTTTATCAGCTGAGCTATCATATGTGTTTATCTTGTTTAATTTTAGTTTATATAAAATATTGTGGTAGAGTTTTGGCAAAAATGGGCACAACTATTCCCTCAATGGTATCCACATCTCTTGCAGTGTGGTTTTGGCGGTGCTGCCATTAAAACGTGGAGTCCATTTCCCTACAACTTAAATCTGGGCTGGCCTTATGACCTGGTTTGGCCAACTGAATTCAATAGAATTGTTTATATACTAGTTTTGAACAGACTTCATGAGACGTTTCTTTCTTCTACTCTTTCAAAGGAAGTCCCAATACCCTTCACATCACAATATTTTAAAAGCCCTATATAGTCTCTGCAGCATTGAAATAGGGTTGGCTTTTGTATTCAGTAGAATGCAGCATCAGAGACAGTTTCTGACCTCTTAAACCAGGTGAGAAGTACATTATGTCTGGACTTCTGGAGTAGTAACATGGGGAAGCCAGCTACCAGTTATAAGGACACACAAGCAGTCTCATGGAGAGAGTTTAACATGGAGAGAAACCTCCTTGTCAGTACCAGCTCGCCAGCCATATGGCTGAACTACCTTGGAGAGCGATCCTCACACCCTAGTCAGGCCTAAAGATGACTGGAGTTGCAGATGACATCTGACTACAGCCTCACAAGAAACCACAAGCCAGTATTGTCCAACTGAGCTGCTCCTGAATTCCAGCTCCACAAACCCTTCAATTGCTATCCTTTGACTGTTTGGTTTTTTTATATGTTATACAACTATTTCTAACAATAAAGGGTAACTGAACAGGGTACGGGGGCTTTAGCTGCATGAGGAACTATGGCCTGTTGGTGGTGGCAGAGGTAGTATGGGCAAGTATGATGCATTTAAATTTCTCTGTCTTAATAATTTGTTTCCCTACAATGAGCAAATTCTGATTCAAAATGTTTGTCCTTTTCTATTCATTCTTCGATTTCATGAGATTGTATTAATTTTATTTGTGTGTGTGTGTGTGTATATGCACGCACACACACACACACACACACTCACTCTTATTGTTTGATGTATCAGCTTTACATATCTTATATCTGGCTTGTTAAAGAGGAGGAGTTTGGCATAACTACATTACCACAAAAATTATTATAATCTTTGAGCTCTCAAATTTTGCTAGTTATACAAATGCTACATTAGATAGATAGATAGGTAGATAGATAGACAGATAGAGGTTGAGAGAGAGAGAGAGAGAAAGAAAAAGACAATGTCTCACTCTGTTGCCTAAGCTGGCCTGCAGTGATGTGATGATAGCTCACTGCAGCCTTGACCTCCTGGTCTCAAGCGATCCTCCTGCCTCAGTCTCCAGAATAGCTGGGACTACAGGCACATACCACCATGCCTGCCCATTTTTAAAAATAATTTTGTAGAGATAAGGGCTTTGCTAAGTTGCCCAGGCTGGTCTCAAACTCCTGGCCTCAAGTGATCCTCCTGCCCTGGCCTCCACTGGGATTATAGGCATAAGCCACTGCACCAAGCCCATCATCACTATTTTTAATCATAGTATTAACTATATTCCTTACATTTATGTTAATTGTCAAATATTTCCTTTCTGCTAGTTTTTAACCATTCATCTCTTAGTCGGCAGAAGTTTGTTCCTTAGGAGATAGTTTCTTCAAGAAGACTCATGGGAACTGAATTGCATGGCCACAACAATTTATTCTTGTCTTTATACTTGAATGGCTGGAAATACAATCATTAAGTCAGATTTTCTTTAAGGATTTTAAAGACATTGCTCTAATACTTTTTAGTATTCAATGTATTATTTGGAAAA